>NC_000012.12:69278309-69429824 GCF_000001405.40 Homo sapiens | reverse complement strand
GGTTCTCCCTTCTCATTTTTTTTTTTTTTTTTTTTTTCACACATTGCTCTTCCCAATCCTGTCACCTCTTAGTGAAGGATTTTGCTTCCTGTTTACTGAAACTCCCTTAGTTAACCTGGCCTTGTTTAATTCCCTTGAACTTTCTGTCTCTATTTTATGTTTACCTCTTTCAATTATCTCAGGATAAAATCATCCCTCTTCTCTTCAGAGATAAGTTCTCTCCTAAAGCTTCCTAGAACCATTAACCTCACATAATTTCCTCTAACAATTAAAGCTTGCTTTCTCAGCTGCGTCCTCTTTTGCTTTTCTTTTTTGCTTTTCTCTTTTTTTTTCTAAGAAAACCAACCAACAGCTGCCTAGCCTTTGCCTTGCTACCCCTTTCTGTCTTTCCAGCTATACTTCTTGAATAAATGGTCTTTGTTCTCTACCTTAATTTTGTCTTCTTCACTCCTTTCTTTTTTCAGTATGGTGTCATTCTCCTGAAACTTCTCTCTCTCTCTTTTTTTAATGCCTTCAATTTCTTTCCTCACTTTGTTCATGTTTTCATTTAAATAGTCAACAATAATTATAATAGGTGTTTTAATATTCTTCTCTGCTAATTCTGTATCTGTCATTTCTGGGTCTGTTTCCTTTGAGTGATTATTTTTCTGGTTATGGGTCACATATTTCTGCTTCTTGACTTGTTTAGTCATTTTTTATTGGATGCTGAACATTGTCAGTTTTATATTATTGAGTGTCTAGATCTTACATCTTCCTTCAAAGACTGTCGTGTTTTGTAGTGGCAGGCAGAAAGGTACTTGTGGTTTAGTTTGGCCCTTTTGGGATTTGTTTTCAAGCTTTGTTAGGGCAGACCTAAAGTAGCTTTTATCCTAGGAACAGTTTAGTAACATTTCCAAGGCATGGCCCTTCTAGTGCTTTCACTGAATGCTCCGAGTGATCAGTGAGGACACTCCCCTCTGGCTGGTCAGCCCTTGAGCAATTCCCAGCCCTTCGTAAGCTCAGGAACTGCTGTTCAGTTCGCAATCTCTCTTCGCTCAATGGAGTTTCACCATATTCAGCAAAGGCTCAAAATGACACCATGCAGATTTCTGGAACTCTCTTTCTGAGAGAGAAACTCTGCAACTCTGCCCTACAATTTCCAGCTACCTCAACCCTCCTGAATTCTGATCTTGGTCTCCTCAACTCAATAAGACCATTGTGTCTTACACAGGTGCCCTTCCCTGCTGCATCACTAGACATGTGTCTTCAGGCAGAAAGCCCGGGGGATCTTAAGGCCGCATTATCTCAGGGATCACAGTCCCATATTACCTATCATCCAAAGTCTGGAAACAGCTGTTTCACATATTTTGTCTGTTTTTCTAGTTCTTCAAGGTGAATTCCAGTTCCAGCTACTTCATTATGGCCAGAAGTTGGAATGTCTGAAACTACTCTTTTGAAGAACATCATGACTGTTTCTAAGTAACCAAAGGCTTTCTTTATTCCTCTTGTTTTAGAACAACACTTGATCACTGGCCATTGCCTTCTTAAAATTCTGCTCCCTGAACCATCCTACCCCCTTACCATTCCCTCCCTACTTCTTCTTATCTTTCCTTTTCCAGAGGGGCTGGAAAGTAGGCAAGCTCAAGAATAAAGCAGGTTGTAAATGGCATTGGCAATTTCCAGTTTGATCAGGGAGCACAGCTGGAGGAACCCGGGCAGTGTTTTTTTTGGCAAAAGTCTCCTTTTTAATCCTCATAGTTAGCATTTAACAAATTTGCTGATTGATTTTGGGCCCACTATACTCTAATTTCTTTTTTATTTATTTATTAATTTTTTTGTTTTAGAGATAAGGTCTCACTCTGTTGCCCAGGTCAGAATGCAGTGGCATAATAACAGCTCACTGAGGCCTCAAACTCCTGGGCTCAAGTGATCCTCCCACCTCAGCCTCCTAAGTAGCAAGGACTACAGGCTTGTGCCATCAGACACACCCAGCTAATGTTTTAGTTTTTATGTAGAGACGGGGTCTTGCTATGCTGCCTAGGCTGGTCTCGAACTCCTGGCTTCAAGTGATCCTCCTGCTTTGGCCTCCCAAAGTGCTGGGATTACAGATGTGAGCTGCCTTGCCTGGCCCCACTATACTCTCATCAATTAGTGGGATGGTTGAGAGCTGACTGCATTTAAGATGTACATATTTCAGTATGAATGCTATTATTTCCTAGTCTCATATGGGGTATTTCTCAGGAAAGTATGATCAAATCATTTGAGATTCAAATTATCAAGATTGTCATCTTTGCCAGGTTTCTTGTACTCCATTTTTATCTTGGTAGGTTCTCAACTTGTACAATTCCCCTGCGGGTCCTTTCCAGACCCAATAGTTACTCTTTTTTCTTTTTCAGTTTGTATATGTGTTTCTGTTCTGGGTGGTTTAGCAATACACTAACATTTTTTTTTTTTTACTTTGTTTCTTATGTCAGGTAAGATTAAGTAGGTTAATATCTCTACCGTAAATTATGCTTTTCATTTATTTGGGTTAATGATTCCAGACCCCTACAGGCAGAGGCATCCACAAATCCAAGCTGATTATGCTGCCACCGAAATTCAAACCTTATTTTTTCCCCTAAGGATATTTCTATTAATTATATTTAACTTCTACATGTATTTAATATAAAACAAATTTAACTGCATCAAAAAGAAATCTGTGACAAACAGAATAATGCTTAAAAGTAATATAGTGTTTCATATCCATCACAAGAAAATAACTCAGATACTCTTAGGGCATTTGCTGTAACTTTTATTGACATTAGATGGCATTAAGATAGCCAAACATCAAGCAAAGAATAATTATCTTTCTTTCAATTATTATTCCAACTCTCTTTCAAGAAACTTGTCAACACATGCTTGATGTGTTGAGAAATAAAGCCACTTTAAAGGAATCATGATCAAGCTCAAACTGATAATGTTTAAAATTAAGGACAATTAAATGTTTGCTTATCCTAGGAGTTAATCTGCTACCCTTGAGACCTCACTTCACCTCTTCTAAGATTATTTTTAAAATGAACAGATTGATTTTTCACAAAATGCCCCCATAGATAATGGTTTCCTTAAACAAATAGAATGTTTAGAAATCCTGTGCTGTTTTGGCATCCCTGGTTACCTATGTTTAAAGGAGAATTTAGGCCGGATGCGGTGGCTTATGCCCATAATCCCAGCACTTTGGGAGGCTGAGGCAGGCGGATCACCTGAGGTCAGGAGTTCGAGATCAGCGTGACTAATATGATAAAACCCTGTCTCTACTAAAAGTACAAAAATTAGCCAGGCATAGTGGCAGGCACCTGTAATCCCAGCTACTCGGGAGGCTGAGGCAGGAGAATTGCTTGAACCCGGGAGGCAGAGGTTGCAGTGAGCCGAGATGGCGCCACTGTACTCCAGCCTGGGCAACAGAGTGAGACTCCATCTCAAAAGAAAAAGAATTTAAACTGAAGTCATATCCACAAACATACAACAAGAAAATGGATTCTGAGTCATAGCTATAACTCTTTGTCTTAGCCTAGAAAGCAAAGATGGAGGCAAGGGCATATACAAATAGTTTATTATTATTATTATTTGAGATAGGGTCTCACTCTGTCACTCAGGCCAGAGTTCAGTGGTGCAATCATGGCTTACTGTAGCCTCAACTCCTGGGCTCAAGTGATCCTCCCGCCCCAGCTTCCCAAGTATTTGGGTCTACAGGCACACACCACTATGCCTGACTAATTTTTTGTTTGTTTTTCTTTTGTAGAGACAGGGTCTCGCTAAGTTGATCAGACTGATTTTGAACTCCTCGCCTCAAGCGATCCTCCTGCCTTGGCCTCCCAAAATGCTGGGGTGAACCACCACACCTGGCCTAATATTGTATTAGAAGGAAGGGAGTACAATTCCAGGGCAGCAAGAGTGAGTAAAAAGGAAGTCAGTCAGGGATGGAGAAAAAGCAAGTGCAAAGTGGGGCATCAGGAAGCGGGCTACAGCTTCATGAGATCACACAGTGGGTTGCTTGGTTGGGCTGTATGTAATTATGGTGCACAGAGTGGTCCACCAAGGAGTGAGGGGGATGACTTAACGTGTGGGCTCCTTTGCACCTCCTGTCTCTCTTTGGTCCAAGTAGACCTCAAAGAGTGATAACTCTCTAGCACTCTCAGGCAAAGACCCCTCCAGGCAGCCAATGGGGAAGCCACATCCTGAGGCACAGTGCTATCTCTGCATCTGGAAGTCGGGGGAGGTGCCAAAGACTCCACAGTCTGGTTGGACTGACTTGAGAAGCAGTTCTGCTACAGCTCTCACTGTGTGGGCGCAATGGAGGCCATGCCTGAGGTAGTCACTCCATAGGAGAAGGTGTGCACCACCAGAGCTGTCCATTCTGCAAGCAGCTCAGAAGCCAGTCAGGCAAATCTGGGGAAGCTCATGAAAAAGCTCACGATTGTCCTTATTGTTATTCAGGCCCCTTTCTCAAAATTCCATTTAAAACACACTTTCTGAGGACCTATTATTAATATTTGCCAGTCTTTCTGCCATAAGCACTAAGATAAAGAAAACAGAGTCTCTGGCCTCCGAATGAACTACAATTTATTGTAATAAATACTAAGACCCGGCTGGGCGCGCTGGCTCATGCCTGTAACCCCAGCACTTTGGGAGGCCGAGGCGGACAGATCACCTGAGGTTGGGAGTTTGAGACCAGCCTGACCAATACGGAGAAACCCCCGTCTCTACTACAAATACAAAAAAAGTAGCCGGGCATGGTGACCCATGCCTGTAATCCCAACTACTCAGGAGGCTGAGGCAGGAGAATTGCTTGAACCCAGGAGGCGGAGGTTGTGGTGAGCCGAGATCGAGCCATTGCACTCCAGCCTGGGCAACAAGAGCAAAACTCCGTCTCAAAATAAATAAATAAATAAATAATAAATATATACTAAGACCCTGGGACTTTGTATTAGTCTGTTATCATACTGCAATAAAGAAATACCTGAGACTGGGTAATTTATAAAGGAAAGAGGTTTAATTAACTCAGAGTTCTGCATGGCTTTGGGAGGCCTCAGAAAACTGACAATCATGGCAGAAGGTGAAGGGGAAGCAGGCACCTCCTTCACAAGGTGGCGGGAGGGAAGTGAGGGAGAGCGAAGGGGAAAGAGCTCCTTATAAAGCCATCAGATCTCGTGAGAACTCACTCACTATCACGAGAACAGCATGGGAGAAATCTGCCCCCATGAGCCAGTCACCTCCCACCAGGTCTCTCCCTCAACCCCTGACGATTACAATTCAAGATGGAATTTGGGTGGGGATGCAAAGGCAAACCATATCAGACTTTAAATGAGAAAAATGAATTCCGTCTGGGAGAGAACAAGGAAAGCAACAAAGAAGAAAATGTAGATGAATAAAGTAGCTTCATCTGATTCAGCTGAGACTATGGAAGGGAAGGATAAAGACTAATGAGACACACAGAAGATTAACCAAGAGTATGCATCCTGTCTCCTGAGTATGGAAATGAGGCTATCTCTGAGTGACCCCTGTAGCAGGTTAGGATCTTTCGCTCCCTCAATTTTCTACTGTGATGGCCACATATAAGGCATTGTGGCAATTAACAAAAAAGCCAACTAATCATGATTTAAACCATACAAGCTTTCATTATTGACTTGGTAAGTTCAAAGCTGGCCATCTCAGAGTAGTTTTGGAAACCAAAAGTGTCACCAAGAATCCAGGGTCTTTATTCTGTCCTGCTTTCTTCAACTTGTTGGCTTTCATTCTTAGGTTGATTGCCTCATGATTCCAAAATGATCGCTGCAGCTCCAAACATTACATCTTCATAGAGTAATATCTAGAAAGAGAAGGAAGCAAGGGGACAATAAAATGCTTTCTTCTCAAGCATTTCTCTGTTACCAAATAACTCTTTCCCAGAGGCTCCCTTAGACATCCATTTATACCCCATTGACCAGAACTGGGTTGCATGTCCCCACCCTAGATTAATTAGTGGATAAAGAGATTAAGAGTGCCATGATTTAGTTAGATCCAGCAAGATGTTTCTTTTGGGGCTGGGTTCATAATTGCACATCAAAATTGGCCTCCTCGTTGATGAAGCCAGTGTGTTCTTTCTAACAAACTGATGATGTCACTGTTATGCCTGAAATTCTTCTATGGCTCTTTCTTGTCTATAGGGCAAGTCCAAGTTCCATGACTATTTATGCTTCTTCGTGTCAGCTCTTCAACTTCACCCCCTCCTAATCTGCCAAGGCACTCTGTTTCAGATCTGTGGAATTAGCTGAGATTCCCGGAATGCCCCATGCTTGTTGCTCCTTCTAGTGCTTTGTATAGATTGTCTCTTCTGGCTTTCCACATTGTTTTCTTAGCAACTACAACTTATCTTTCAAATATAAACTTAAATGCCTCCTCCTCAGAAAGCCTTCCAGGATGTTCCTCTTCTGTTTTCTCAAAAGTGCCCTGTTTATACCCCTTTTATGACATATACAGCCCTGTGGTAATTACTTGTTTCTTCATCTATCTCCTTTACTTGACTGGAAATCTCTAGAGTTTAGCCCGGTACCCAGAATGAAGCAGCCACTTAAAAAGTGACGATTAAGTGAAAAATCCCTATGGTTGTGTGCTTTCAAACTCAACCAGGTCTTTATTGGTTTGATTTGTTGCTGGTTAGATCCTGACCCTGGGGACCATTTCAGACACTCCTCACCCTGCCACAGCATAAAGCCCAGGCTTTGTCTCTCTCATCCTCAGCAGATGATCTCAATGTCTACTTTTTTAACAAAGTATAATTGCTATTTCATTTTTTTCCAGAGGATAGTTTTCCATCCTTAAGATTGAAAACACCTTATACGGGCTTTCGCGGAGGTCATGGAACAGCACCATTAGGTCTAAATCAGGGAGGGGTATTGGATCCTTCTGGGCTTCATGAGAATGACTCCTGACTACTTTTCCATGAATGGCACAACTCATATCACAATGCAGTTTCTCATACAGCTGGGAAGCACAGGTGTTAAAGACACTCACTTCAGAAATGGCCCTGATGGCTATGGCCTCTACTTTGTTTTTAATGACGAACTTAATGGCCTTGTCCTTGGGCACACATTGGGTGCAGTTGTACAGGGAACAGGCTGTGTGTGGCCTTGGCCCTTTTTGGCACAATCAGTTTCTTCTTTTCTTTTTCTTGTTTTTTTTTTTTTTTTTTTTTTTTTTGAGACAGGGTCTCGCTTTGTCACCCAGGCTGGAGTGCAGTGGCGCCATCTTGGCTCACTGCAGCCTTGACGTCCGGGGCTGTAGTGATCCTCCCACCTCAGCCTCCCACATAGCTAGGACTATAGGCATGCGCCACCACAGCCAGCTATCTTTGTATTTTTTGTATGGACAGGGTTTTTCCATGTTGGCCAGGCTGGTCTTGAACTTATGGACTCAAGTGATCTGCCCACCTCAGCCTCTGAAAGTGCTGGGATTACAGGCGTGAGCCACTGCACCTGGCCACTGTTTCTTCTTTTCTTTGTCATCTTGGAAGTGAGGACCTGAGAGAGCTTTACTTCTATTTAGAGTTCACTGAGACACTAATTTCAGGGTCTTCGATGTTCCTTCATTCACTTTGACCCTCATTCTCAACACCTAACATTTCTGTTGCTCACTCTCTTCATCCCACTCATCTCAAAGGAAAAGGTCTCCCTTCTCCCTAAGGATCTCACATCCTCCACCCCCTTCTTGGACCTCTCTCGCCAGAATCTTCTATCTTCCCTTTGATACCTATTAGCACTCTGGTCTCCTCCCAACCATAACACACCCATCAGACTGGATACCCTTGCACTGTCTTACATTTCAAAAGATTCCTGTCCTGTTGTCAATGCCTCAAAGCAAGCCCTTAAAGCAGGGGTTGCTAGAACTGGTAGCTCAAATACCAGATAGAGCCTATAGGGGTGTTCTACTCAACCTTCACGGTGTTTTTAAAAGTGGGAAATTTCACTTAAAAATGAGGATTCCAGACTTTTCCATAAAGGTCACACAGCTGACTGGTCTGAGCCACCTTTTCTACATGGCAACAATGATGTGGGTACAGCCGCTAGCCACTACCTTTGGGTGGGGCATGTGGTCACCAGGTTGTCAGAGTATCCTTCTTGTAAGCATTTGAATTTTCAGCCGCCTAGACTTGTGGTTTTGTCCTGTATTTCACCTGGAAGTGCCCTCTTGAAAGTCATTGGTGATTTCTTAGTCATGAGATACACAGGTGTTTGCTCCATCTCCATTGTCCTTGAACTCTCTGTACTTCCTGACCACCTCTCTAGAAACTACACCCCGCTTGGCTTCCTTAGACCTTATGTTCCTGGTTCTCCTAGATTCCTAATGCCATTTTTTTAAGGTATACATGTGAATACGAATTTGCAGTAGAAAATACGATATAATATAAAATTTTAATAGCTGACAAATACAAAACCATTACACAATAAAGGAAAATAATGTTTTTACTCAGTAATTGCCTGACACACCTTTATAACTTTTTTTCCTACTAATTTTGGCTTCATGTTCATTGATAACCTTCTCATATGATGATTCTTAATATCTATCTTTTTTGTACAGGAATGTTTATTGCAGCATTATTTATAATACCAAAAGGTGGAAACAACCCAAATATCCATCAACTGACAGATAGATAAACAAAATGTGGCATATCAGAGCTGTGTGCTGTGGCTCACAGATGTAATCCCAGCTACTTGAGAGGCTGAGGTGGGAGGATTACTTGAAGCCAGGAGTTTGAGACCAACCTGGGCAACATAGCGAGACCCCATCCCCCCAAAACAAAAACCAAAATGTGGCATATCCCTAGAATGGAATATTATTTGTCAACGAAATTAAGTAGTGAAGCCAGCCACAACATGGACAAACCTTAAAAACACTATGCCAAATGAAAGACACAAAAGACCTCAAATGACATCATTATTCCATCCATGTACAGCATCCAGAACAGGCAAACTCATGGAGACAGAAAGTAGATTGGTGAGCACTGGGGGCTGGGAGGCCGGGGATGGAAGGGAAGGGAGTGGTAGCTAATGGGCCTCTTTTTCTCCCCCAGTGTGTTTTTTATTGTGTTAAAGTTCACATAACATGACATTTATCACCTTTGACCATTTTTGCTGGCTGTGTTCCTTCTGCCTCCTAAATGAAGGCTTCTCCTAAGGTTTGGTCCTGGAATTTTCCAGCTAGGATCCCCTTCATCTTCATGGGATGAGTGGAGTCATGTAGCTTTTGCCATCCATCCCTTTTTGTCAAGAGCTGCCAAATTTCTCTCTGTCCCTGTCTCTCCCTCACGTTCTTTTCACACATCTCCAATGATCTGATGGAAATCTCCTCCTGGTTGTGTTTCTAGCACCTTACATATATTATATCTGAAACACAACTTGTCATCTTGCCTCTGTCCCCCTCCCCCTAACCAAACCAGGTCCCTTTCAATTAATTAACTGTGATGGAGTTCTCACAGTAACCCTTTCCTTTGCACATCCCCTTCCTTTGACCTCCACAGCATTTCTTCAGGCCTTTATAACATCTAGCTTCCCACCTGGTCTCCCTGCCTCCTCCCTCTCATCCAAATGTCCTTCCTTGCATCCTGGAAAAATTATCTTTTTAAAACATTGCTGTGATAATGTCTTTCTCCTGCTCTCTATTCAGTAGCTGAGGGAATGGGCCATGAAAATTAGTCAGGATTCTTGTCCACTTTCTTCTCAACAATCCAGTTACATTTTACCCTCAAAGACAATGACAACCCACCTTTTCCACACCACTGTTGGTGCTTAAGAGACTGTTAGTGGATCTCTATCAGTTGAAGAAGAATTTCCAAAGCTTCTGACCTTCAACCACTCAGGCCCAGCCAGATTTCCAACCTTATCTCCCACCGCTTTTTGACACCTACCTAACATCACCTGGGCAACTTAAAGAAACCTCATGTTTTTTCTTCCTTTGCTGATGCAGGTCTATTGTTTGGAAGGTCCTCCCAGCATTCACTGAGGCCTTTCTCAAATGTCTTACTAGCAATGCCATCTGTCACACACATTCTTGCATTGTATTTATGCCCAGGTCTTTTCTGGCTCACTATATTGTATGCTCTTTGAGAGTAGGGACTGACTCCTTCTCTATCCTTTGTCCCATCAGAGTGCTCAACACATGACTTTCTTTCCTTCAACAACTATTTATAAAAACCTTCTATAACGGCAGGTACTAAGCCGGGGCCTGGCATACAAAGATGAATGAGGCATAGTCCCTGTCTTGATTCAACCTAATGAAAATGACACATGAACCCATGACTATAAAGTTGGCTGAGGCCAGGTGGTGGCTCACACCTGTAATCCCAGTACTTTGGGAGGCCAACGCAGGAAGATCACTTGAGACTACGAGTTCAAGACCAGCCTGGGCAACATAACAAGACCCCGTTTCTACAAAAAATTTTAAAAATTAGCCAGCTGTGGTGGGGCACAACTGTAGCCACAGCTACTAAAGAGGCTGAGGAAAGAGGATGTCTTGAGCCCAGGAGGTTGAGGCTGCAGTGGGTCATGATCGCACCACTGCACTCCAGCCTGGGCAACAGAGTGAGACCATGTCTCTAAAAAAAAAAAAAAAAAAAAAAGTAAAATAGGATGAGCACAATAGGTGTATATACAAAGCATAGGGAGAATTTATTCATGGAGGATGACTGAGAACAGGAAAGTGAGGCCTCAGAGGAGGTGACATTTGGATTGGGCACTAAAGGAAGAATGAGCAGAGGTGAGCAGGGGAAATGACTAAAGTAAATTTTAAGCCTCATATACATATATATATATATATATATGGCTTAAATTATATATGTATTTAATATAAAAATATTTTCATATAAAACATATTTAGTACATATATATTTATACATAAAACATATATATATGTTTTAGGAGATGGGGTCTCACTATGTTGCCCAGGCTGAACTTGAACTCCTGGGCTCCAGCGATCCTCCTGCCTTAGCCCCCCAAGAAATTAGGACTACATGTATGCACCACTATGCCTGGCTCAAGCCAGCTATATTTACAACTTATTGGCAATTATGATGAAGGTAGCAAAGTTGAAGGATTAGCTCAAATGCATTTAGATTATGTAGGCTTTAGTTTGGTATGAAACAGATGAGAGTTAATGCTATCACACAGGGATAGATTCTACCAAGGGAAATATGTGGAAGAAAAAAACCAACTTCAATTACTCTAATTCTTGGTTGTTGACTCCCTCCAACACATACATTCCTTTGTTGACAAATGAATGTTTTAGATGAGCATTTGTTTATCACAGACATTTAACAAAGAAGGAGAGCAAACTGACAATCAAGATTTGGTGCAGATCAGAAAACCAATAAACAATGTTTTTTTTGAGACAGAGTCTCACTCTGTCACCCAGGCTGGAGTGCAGTGGCAAGATCTTGGCTCACTGCAACCTCCACCTCCCGGATTCAGGCAATTCTTGTGCCTCAGCCTCCCTGGTAGCTGGGATTACAGACGTGTGCCATCCTACCCCGCTAATTTTTGTATTTTTAGTAGAGACAGGGTTTCACCACATTACTTTATGGGCCAGGCTGGCTAGTAAATAATGCCTTATACATATTGCAAGCATAGGATCTTCAGTACAGAAATGAAAGATTTTGGAACTCTTCCCTTTACTGAATATGACTTGAACAGCATTATCACCTGCCAAGGCTGAAGTCACTGCTAAAATGGCTTCCCAAATAGGAGACAATCCCCAGAATCTGTCTCTATCAGAAGAATGACCTTTGATTTCATCTCTAAAATACACAAGCTTTATTTGACTAAGGTAAACGAAAGAGCCAGAAACTTTAAATATAGCTTATTTTATTTGATCATCTTAACTGAAATCTCTTTCTGTGTGAGAAAAGATTTCCCCATCAGCAGTTTTTTTAAGGGGCATTTGGCTTCAAAAGCTTTTATTGCTTTTTTTTTTTTTTTTTTTTCCCTATTGTAAGAATATTAAGCCAAGCATTTCTGGGGAGACACGCAACAAAAATGCCAGCGTTAAACGAAGTGCTGCTGATTTCCAAAGGGACCATTTCTGCAGTAACAAGCGGCTGCTGTTGTTTTCACAGAAACACCAACAAATAGTCACAGAAACACAGTACGTGGGTAGTGATCATTAAATTAAGTATTTCCTCATTTTAAAGCTAGTTCTAAAACAACACAGAATTACTAGTGAACACAAATAATTAGACTTCTGTAACCGATTTCTGTAGAGTCACAGGATTTTTAGCCTCCTACCAAGGCAGCCTTATGTTCAGGCATCGGTCATACGTTCTCATCTGCTCAGAAGCCTCAAAGTAATCACCCAAGATCTTGATAATTTAAGACCTGACTAGCCAGGTGTGGTGGCTCACATGTGTAATCCCAGCACTTCAGGAGGCTGAGGCGGGAGGATTACTTGAGCTCAGGAGTTGAAGACCAGCCTGGGCCACATAGTGAGATGCTCTCTCAACAAAACATCAAAAAATTAGCCAGGTGTGATGGCATATGCACCTGTAGTCCAAGCAACGTGGGAGGCTGAGGCAGGAGGATCACTTGAACCCAGGAAGTTGAGGCTGCAGTGAGCCATGATCATACCACTGCACTCCAGCCTGGGCAACAGAGTGAGATTCTGTCTCAAAAAAAAAAAAAAAAAAAAATTTTTAAAAAATGTTTAAGCCATGACCAACTTGAGTATTTTATTTTATTTTATTTTTATTTACTTATTTATTTTTAAATTTGGGACAGAGTTTTGCTCTTGTTGCCCAGGCTGGAGTGCAGTGGTGTGATCTTGGCTCACTGCAACCTCCGCCTCCTGGGTTCAAGTGATTCTTCTACCTCAGCCTCCCGAATAGCTGGGATTACAGGCACCCACCACCATGCCCGGCTAATTTTTGTATTTTTAGTAGAGATGGGGTTTCACCATGTTGGCCAGGCTGGTCTCGAACTCCAGACCTCACCTTATCCACCCACCTCGGCCTCCCGAAGTGCTGGGATTACAAGCATGAGCCACCGCCACCGGCTGACCAACTTAAGTATTGACTGTTCATCTCTCACCATAAAATTCTTATTGTTAAAATTAAGCACTGGGCATTGATTGTTACACATTGATCTGAGCGAAGTAGCCTGTCATAGATGCCTTGTCTTCCCAAACCCCGACCCTGTGAAGCAAGTCTAGGTTACCTACTGGCGTGGGAGGGCTGCAGGCAGATGGGCAGGAATGTGACCCAGGTGCTTCTTGGGCTGCCCTTTGAACCACATCCATGGAACTCTTTGCCTACTGGTGATAAGTGACTCTGCACACTGATAAGCACCATTTAGAAACACCATTCTGATAACCATCACTAGGCCACTGTGAGTGTTGTTGAGTTCTGGAATTTTCCTTGGGGCCGATTGTTTTGCAATATGTCTCTCAGGCAAATCCCAGTTCCGTATGTAGTTGCAGGACTGTAAATTGCATAGAATTTGGGAGAATTTCTTTTTCTTTTCCTTCTTTTTGTTGCTAGATAACAAATTAAACACATCAGAGGATTGAAAAGCCTCTAAGTTGTTTGTTGTTTTATGGGGAGGAGAACAATGGATTCACCAGGCTGAATTCTTAGTGCCTGTTTGCTCTTTGAAGCAGTTTGCAGGTGAGCGATGGTGGCAGCGGCACACACAGGGAACTGAAGTTGGAATGCACAGCAGTTCCCACTCTTCCTCCACTGAGGTAGGACCGCGGGCCTGGGAGATGCCAGGCCTGAAGGATCCAGCTGCCTCTGGCTTCCAAGGCTGGTGTAATGGCTCAGTTCTCACAGAAGTGCTGACAGAATATGACAAATAGAAAACAGATGTGAACTGACCTTCCAAAAATGTATTGCAAGGCTTCTTAATCTTCACAGGAATTCTTCAGAGTGAGAGATGCCACCTTCAGGCAGCAATGCTCATGGCATCTTAAAGGGTTGATGTTTCTGCCTGTGATCCCCTCGCTAGTCGGCCACAACTGTTCTTCTTGCCCACTGCCCTCTCAGACATCTTTTTCTCGGCATCCATGTGTGAAATGGATGGATCCCCGACTGGCCAGGGGATCACAGGCAGTGAATCCTCTCCCTCACCTGTCCCCATACACAGTCTTGGCTTTTGTAGTTATAGCCACCTTTTCCTACACATTGAGGCTGTTCCTCTCCCATCTTTGCCATTGGATCTCTACTTGCTTTGAAATTGTTACTGTCACTGGGTCCATTGCTTGCTCCAAATACCTGTTTGTTTGTTTTTAAGACATGATCTCCCTTTGTTGCCCAGGCTGGAGTGCAGTGGCATGATCTCAGCTCAGTGCAGCCTCTGCCTCCTGGGTTCAAGAGATTCTCTCACCTCAGCCTCCTACAAGTGCCCACCACCATACTCGGCTAATTTTTGTATTTTTAGTACAGATGGGGTTTCACCATGTTGGCCAGGCTGGTCTCGAACTCCTGATCTCAGGTGATCTGCCCGCCTCGGCCTCCCAAAGTGTTGGGATTACATGCGTGAGCCTCCACACTTGGCCCCAAATACCTTTTTGACACTAAATGTTGGTTTGGAGCTACTGAGTACACTGGACTTTTGCCCACTGAACAACTTAAGTTAGATCTACTAAGTAGAGGGGTGCAAAGGACAACAGGGGAATCAACATCCCCTGTTTCTTTCTCTCTTACTGCCTTCCTGGTCCCTGGCTTCTAGGTCAAAGTGCTGCTCCTTATGTAGGCAAGTGTGCGCTCAGCATGCATGATTCTGTGGCTTTTTGAATTGCTTAGTGTACGTTCTTTGTGAACATCTGCATGCATCCTGCAGGAATTTAGGTAGCATTTCTCAGATTTTTGTCCCCCAGTCTCTATAATACATTGATGGAGACTTTCTTTCTTGCCAAATTATTGATATCCCAAAAAGAACTGATGGCAACATTTCCGCTGAGAAAGAAAGCCACGTAAGTACAACACAGTGCGAATTCATTCCCAGTGCCACTGATGAGCAATCAACGACATCACCCCAGTTAATCTCAAATCCATCTGGCTTCAAAGTCTAGGCACTTTTCAGCGGGCCAAGCCAGGTCTCACTTTGGAAGTCAAGGGGATTCTGTGCTTAAGAAGTCAGTGCATTGTCCTACCTCCAGACGTTATATGCCAAGAAAGTTCATCTTATTTTGAAGCAAACTCAATAAAATGTTCTGGACAGAAATGGACAGAGTTTGTGGAATCTGAATCTTTTCCTATTCCTGTATAGCTTAAGACTAAATAATTTGTCCAATTTGGGGGACAATAAGAAATGTACTCTTCGGGCATGGTGGCTCATGCCTGCTAGTCCAGTGCTTTGGGAGGCTAAGATGGGAGGTTCACTTGAGGCCAGGAGTTTCAGACTAGCCTGGGCAACAAAGTGAGACCCCGTATCTACAAAAAAAGTTTTAAATTAGCCAGTCGCGGTAGCATGTTCCTGTAGTCCCAGCTACTGGGGAGGCTGAGGTAGTAGGATCACTTGAACCCAGGAGCTTGAGGCTGCAGTGAACTATATTGTGCCACTGTATTCCAGCCTGGGTGACAGAGCAAGACTGTATCTCTTTTAAAAAGTTAAAATTAAAAAATAAAATTAAAATGTTCTCTTTTTCAGAACATGCAATCGTTGCTTAGATATTTGAGTTTTGCAAATGAATAAAAAGTATCAAATATGCAATTAGTATGCATTAGCTCAGTAGAGAGTGATGATGATCTTGTGAGATGAGCAATAGCATGTAAATTTTAGAGAGTAGATAGATGAAGTTTATAGATGTCATGTATCTACAAATGGGAGAGCAGGATTCAATTAGACTTGTCTGTAACAGGGGCTACAAAATTTTTGTATTAGAAGGGTTAGGGCAGCCCTTTGATGGAAATGTAAGCAGGAGACTTTCTTGAAGCTGTTTGCATAGCTACCTCATGCCTTTTCTGTTTTTCTTTTTCTTTTTCTTTTTTTTTTTTTTGACGAAGTCTTGCTCTGTTTTCCAGGCTTGAGTGCAGTGGTGCGATCTCAGCTTACTGCAACCTCTGCTTCCTGGGTTCAAACAATTCTCCTGCCTCAGCCTCCCAAGTAGCTGGGACCATAGGCGTGCACCATCATGCCTGGCTAATTTTTGTATTTTTAGTAGAGACGGGGTTTCGCCATGTTGGCCAGGTTGGTCTCGAACTCCTGACCTCAAGTGATCTGCCTGTCTCGGCCTCCCAAAGTGCTGGGATTACAGGTGTGAGTCACTGTGCCCAGCCTCATATCTTTACTTAGTGCATTTTGGGTTAGATTGACGGGGGGATGGAGATGGGGGGGGCG
Source organism: Homo sapiens (assembly GCF_000001405.40). Taxonomy (NCBI): domain Eukaryota; kingdom Metazoa; phylum Chordata; class Mammalia; order Primates; family Hominidae; genus Homo; species Homo sapiens. The sequence continues at coordinate 69,413,508 of NC_000012.12, read as the reverse complement.
TTGAAGACCCCACTGCAAGCTACTTCTTAGGCTGCCGTTTCTTCTGTGACTCTAAGATCCACTCTTTCAATTGATATGTTTTCCAATGTGAGATCCCAGGAAGAAAATTTTAAAGACAAATCTGCAATTAGTAGTTTTTTTTTTTTTTTTTTTTTCATTTAGAGACAGGGTCTCACTTTGTTGCCCAGGCTGGAGTGCAGTGGTGTGTTCACAGCTCACTGTAGCCTCAAATTACTGGCTGATTTCTAAAACACTGTTTGTAGAGACAAAGTCTCACTCTGTTGGCCAGACTGGTCTTGCCCTCCTTTCCTCAAGTGGTCCTCCCACCTTGGCCTCTCACAGTGGTGGGATAGTAGGCATGAGCCCTACACCCAGCCAATTAGTAGATTTTTGGTTAACAGATTTAATGAACCCAAACTTCTACTCTCTGCCAGTGTTTCTAGTTCATTCTGTGCAAACACCCCTAGCACACTTAGGATCCAGCAACATCTGGGGTTTTTTTTCTGTCTTTCCAATGTCCTGCTTTCTCACTTCTAGGTCTTTCTTTGCACATGCTTTTCCCTCCCCCTTCCACCGCTGCATTCTTTCCTCCCTATATCCACTCTTCCCCTGGCTAACTCCTATGAAGCCTCAGCTTCAATGTCACCTCCTCCAGGTGGCCCTCCTGCTCTCCCTCCCATGTCATCCTATTATAACCCTCATCACACAGCCATCTTCAGGAAGGCACTCTGTAGCCCAAGCCTATGCACTCGAATCTTGACTTGCCTGATTGCACAACTTTGGGCTGCCAACTCTCTCAGTGTTTGACTTTCCTCGCCTTTATTTTTATTTGTATTTTTATTTATTTATTTGTTTTGAGACGGAGTCTTGCTCTATCGCCCAGGCTGGAGTGCAGTGGCGCGATCTTGGCTCACTGCAACCTCCACCTCCCGGGTTCAAGTGATTCTCCTGCCTCAACCTCCTGAGTATCTGGGACTACAGGCCCCTGCCACCACGCCGAGCTAATTTTTTTTTGTATTTTTAGTAGAGACGGGGTTTCACCATATTGGCCAGCTGGTCTTGAACTCCTGACCTTGTGATCTGCCTGTCTCGGCCTCCCAAAGTGCTGGGATTAAAGGTGTGAGCCACCGCGCCCGGACTTGCCTCACCTTTAAATGGGGACAATAGTGGCACCTGAGCCCTTGAGATAAGGTTCAGGTTCAGAGAGAATACCTTTCAAGTGCTTAGAGCCAGCCTGACCTGCAGGGAACCTTCCATCCATGTCAACTCATGTTGTTTACAGTAATAGAAGAGAGACTGTGAGCAAGTTGGTTGCCACAGCACCCCAGCACATGGCATAGTGGCTATAAATATTTGCTGGACAAATGAATCTGCAGTTGCACAGACATATTAAGTGTACTGCTCCCGACCCTCATCACCTCGTGTCTGGACTCTGACATGGGCTCCTGTCCCTCAGCCCTGCTTCTACCCTTGCTCCTTTTTAAACCAGCCAGAGGGCTCTTTTCCAAGTTGAAGTCAGATCATGTTGCTCTTTGAGTTTCCTGTCTCACTTGGAATAAAAACTAAAGTCCTTGCAATGAACCCCAAACCCCTACGTGGTTTGGTTCCCAGTATCCACCATGACCTCATCTGCTACCTTCCCCTTGCTCACTTGGCATCGGCCACATTGGCCCCTGGGGTACTCCCCAGACACACCAGGAATGCTTTCGCTTCAGAGAGTTTGCCCTGGCAGTTTCTTCTGCCTGGACCATTATTCCCAAAGAAAATTGCCTACTCACTCCTTCACCTCCTTCGTGTCTCGCACTAATGCCACCTTCTCAATAAGGCCTGCATGGACCACTCCATTTAAAGTTGCAACCCTGTCCACACTCCCCTCCAGTACTCCCAATTCTCTTCCCCTGTTCAAATTTTCTTTTTCCCGTATCATGAAACACCTTCTAACTTAACACTGTAATTAATTAATTTATTATTATGCTTACTGTTTATTTTCTGACTTTCCCTTCTAAAATGTTAGCACTACAATGGTAGGGACATTTGTTTATTTGCTGACATATTCACAAGCACTTATAACAGTACCTGGGCCTGGCATGGTGGCTCATGCCTATAATCCCAGCACTTTGGGAGGCCAAGGTGGGAGGATTGCTTGTGCCCATGAGTTCGAGACCAGCCTGGGCAACATGGCGAAACCCCATTTCTACAAATACTACAAAAATTAGCCAGGTGTGGTGACACAGGCCTGCGGTCCCAGCTACTCGGGAGGCTGAGGTGGGAGGATCACCTGAGCCAGAGAGGTCAAGGCTGCAGTGAAATGTGATTGTACCACTGTACTTCAGATTGGGCGACACAGTGAGCCTCTATCTCAAAAACAAACTAACAACAACAAAAAACAGTACTTGGTACACACAAGGTGCTTAATATATATTGTTAAATAAATGGTTACCTATAGATACACACTTGCATGCTTATGCACAGCTATACATAATTACTGTTTATAGTTACTATGGTTTAATAGGGGCAATTCTTCCAGGTGAGAAAAGCAGACGTTTCCAGTTGCAGTTTTGACATAATGTCCTAGAAAGATTTCATTTAAATAGATTTTTTCAATAAAAGAGGCATTGCACAAAGTCCCTTATTGGTGCAGCCTCAACATTTTCTTTGGCGGTTTGGATGCTCTGCTGTCTAGGCTGTGGCCCTGTGCATGTGGTCTTGATGGAATGTCCCGATTAGTTATGAGATGTTCCCGAGGAGCCTGGGGGAATAGCTTGTCAGTTCAAGTCTCACCACGGAAGGTTTCTCATTAGCAGTTCTCTTGAAATTCTTCTTGGGCCGTCTCTATCCTCCGGCGACTCAAAACAGCATGCTTGCTTATAGTTTCTTTTGTCAATCTTTTTCCTTATCGACTGCTAAAAATAAAGTGGTTATTTCTTAAATTATGATGACAATGGTCATTTTGACTAAATATTTCCATCCTCACTCCAACAATTATGTGGCACATATAATAATTTTTGCCTGACCTCTGTTAAAAATAAACTATGATAGGAATATGTTAACTGTGTAGAATAAGTTACAAGGCAGTAGATTTGGGCTCATTATAAGAAGTTTTAATAAGAAGCTGAGAAGAATATAGAATGAGCTGACTCTTAATATATAGAATTTCCTATTCAGTGGAGATGATTTATATGAAAAGCCCAGAAAAGGCAAATCTATTGAGGTACAAAGAAGATGAGTGGTTGCCTGGAGCTGAAAGTGGGAGTAGGGAGTGACTGCAAATGGCAAAAAGGCTTCTTTAGAGGAGACAAAAATACTCTAAAATCAGATTGTGGTAGTGGTTGCACAACTCTGCAAATTTACTAAAAACCATTGAATTATATGCTAACGTGAGTGAATTTTATGGTTTGTGTGTTAGTTTGCTAGGGCTGCCATAATATAGTTTCACAGACTGGGTGGCTTAAACAGGAAAAGTTTTCTTACAGTTCTGGAGGCTGAAAGTCAAGGTGTTGGTTGATCTACAGAGTTGGTTCTGTCTGAGGGCTGGGAGGGAAGGATGTGTTCCAGGTCCATGTCCTTAGCTTATAGATGGCTGTCTTCTCCCTTTGTCTTCACATCATATTCCTCCTGTATGTGGCTGTGTTCAAATTTCTATTTTTGTAAGGACACCAGTCATATTGGATTAAAGCCCACCCTAATGACCTAATTTTAATTACATATAGATACACACATGCATGCTAAAGATGTTTAGATGTTATGTCCAAACACAGTTATTTTCTGAGATACTGGGGTTTAGGACTTCAACATATGTATTTTGGAGGGAACACAATTCAGTCCATAACAGTATGTAAATTATACCTCAATAAGAAGCATGTTAATATATATATATATCTTTTTTTTTTTTTAAACAGAGTCTCACTCTGTTGCCCAGGCTGGAGTACAGTGGCACAATCTCGGCTCACTGCAACCTCTGCCTCCCGAGTTCAAGCGATTCTCCTGCCTCAGCCTCCCGAGTAGCTGGGACTACAAGTGTGCACCACCATGGCTGGCTAATTTTTGTATTTTTGGTAGAGGCGGGGTTTCGTCATGTTGGCCAGGCTGGTCTCCAACTCCTAGCCTCAAGGGATCCGCCCACCTCAGTCTCCCAAAGTGCTGGGATTATAGGCGTAAGCCACCACACCTGGCCAAAAATAACATATTAATTGAGCATTAACTAGGTTCTAAGTCCTATGCTAAATACTTTACATACGTCTCTCAGTTGATCTTCTGAATAACACCATGATGCAAGTATGATTATGACTACTTTAAACATGAGGAAAGTAAGGCACAGAGAGGTTGAATAACTTGCCTGTGATCACAAAGCCAGTGTGCAACGGAGCCACGATTCAAACCAAGTAACTTGACTCCAAAGCCTACACTGTTAATCCCTATGCTAATATCTACAGTGTCTAGATATGCCAGGCAGTGTAAGTCAGCCGTCTGATATATATATTAAAATCTCGATTGTAAACAAGAGAAAACCGAGCCTCAGCGAAATCCAGTAACCTACTCAAGTTCACAGAATCTGAAACTGGGGTTCTCTAAGACCTAAGTAGTTTCTAAATATTATGGCATTTCTAATGATGTGTAACTGTGAGTCTCACTATTTTTGATGGGCGAGCTCTAAGACAGGAAAAGGCCCCTGACACACAATAGATGCTCCAAAAATAGCTGTGAGAGGAATGAGAGCATATTGAAAGGTCTAGTCTGTAGTTTTAACTTCACATTGATGGACAAGGAATCTACTCAGGCTGGAGCGATGAGCTGCCTCAAGCCTGCAGTTCTGGAGACTACTTGGGCCATAGGCTGGGGGATCATCAATTGTATCACCATGATACAATTCTCTGGAAGGTGCCTCTTGACTGGAGAAATTTGTCTGAGGAAATGGGCATCCTCACAGCCTGCTGGTGCCAGGGCAAACTGGAGTAAACTTTTCACAGGGCAACCTGGCAACATGTATCAAAAACTTCAAACACATGCATGCACACACACACGCACGCACATGCGCACATCCTTTATTTCCCAATAATTTCTGATCTACAAATTTACAAGTGTTAACACCTCCCATTTGGCAAGCTATACTCAACCTACAGCAAGCAAAGCATTTATACCATTACAATCTCTCTCCCGTCATCCACACTGAATTCACTCATCTATAAAAATGAGAAATTAGTATCAAATCTAAAGAAATGTAAGATGTTACTAGCACTAGATCAACACTCTCCTTAGTCTCAACTTTTCAAGGGTCACTAGTAAGTTCGAAGGATCTTTGATGACTCCGATGATCTTGTAATGCCCAACAGTATCTCCCAGGAGTAGTTTTCCCAGAAGATTGTAAAACTCAAGATCCTCTCCACATAAGACACTCTTGATAGTTCTCTTCCGATTCAGCCCACCACCCCAGTGGTTAACATAACAATCCGTAACTCATAATAATCAGTGAGAACCATTGTTAAGACAAAAAGTGGCCAGGCACAGTGGCTCACGCCTGTAATCCCAACACTTTGGGAGGCCAAGGTGGGCGGATCACCTGAGGTCGGGAGTTCGAGACCAGCCTGACCAACATGGAGAAACCCTGTCTCTACTAAAAATACAAAATCAGCCAGGCGTGGTGGCACATGCCTGTAATCCCAGCTACTCAGGGGGCTGAGGCAGGAGAATTGCTTGAACCTGGGAGGCAGAGGTTGTGGTGAGCTGAGATTGCACCATTGCACTCCAGCCTGGGCAACAAGAGCAAAAGTCCATCTCAAAAAAAAAAAAAAAAAAAAAAAAAAAAAAAGACAAAAAGTATTTGTACTTAGAATACACTACTGGACCACTGGTATCAGGAGCTTCCATCTGCATCATGACATTCTCAGTGCTATGGTTCACAATATCCTGCACGGAGTTTTCTGGGCCCTTCACAAGTCCAATTAAGAAAGTGACAACACTGCAGGACTTCACAGTAGCTATCCAGGAAATAGGGATATGGCAAACAATTCCCAGCCTCAATATATGCTAATCCTGAAAAACAAACAAAAGAATTCTAGATCAAAAGTGTCTCTTATAATATTTTTCATAAAATACAGGCCCATTTTTCATTTTATATTAAATTAATTAATATGTATTCAGCACCTACCATGTACCAGGGACTGTGCAAAGTACGTTCCATACACTTTCTCATTTAGTCCTCAGAGGAGGAAATGGAAGCTTAGAGAAGTTACTCACCCTGCAAGTAGGTCTGTCTGATGATAAAACCTTTGCTCTTAAAGGGAATTCCTAGCTATTCATGGCCTTAGTTGTGAACGTCTTGAGCCGTTCCTATTCTCAATCATTCTTGATTCTAGAAAAAAAAAAAAAAAGAATGTATAAATGTTAAGAGAAATTGGGCCAGGTGTGGTGGCTTACACCTGTAATCCCAGCAGTTTGGGAGGGCAAGGTGGGAGGATTACCTGAGGCCAGAAGTTCAAGATCAGCCTGGGTAATATAGCAAGACCCTGTCTCTACAAAAAATACAAAAATTAGCCAGGTGTGGTGGTGCATGCCTGTGGTCCCAGCTACTTGGGAGGCTAAGGCAGGAGGATCACTTGAGCCTGGGAAGTCGAGGCTGCAGTGAGCTGTGATCACACCACTGCACTCCAGCCTGGGTGACAGAGCAAGACCCTGTCTCAAAAAAAGAAAGAAAAGAAAAAAGAAAAATTGGAAACAATCTAAATGTCTAATAATAAAAGAATAATTATGGTATAATCATAGAATGGACTAATATGCAGTTCTTGTTGATCATGTTTTTAATTATTCTAGAAAAAGTTCATGACATATAATATTAAGTGAAAAAAGCAAAAAATAAAACCAGTTACATGGCCGTTCACAGAAAAAGAAATGCAGATGAACAATAAGTACAAAAAATACTCAATCTTACTCAGAATTTTTAAAAATGCAAAGCAAAACAATAAAATATCCAGCCTGGGCAACATGGTGAAAACTTATCTCTATAAAAAAATTTAAAAATTATCCAGGCATAGTGGCATGCACCTGTGGTTCCAGCTACTTAGGAGGCTGACGTAGGAGAATCACTTGAACCAAGGGGGTGGAGGCTGCAGTGAAACACTTTTGTGCCACTGTACTCCAGCCTGAGCCACATAGTGAGACTTTGTTTCAAAAAAACAAACAAAATACTTAAACAAAATTGATGTAATACTTTCATCAGTGAGATTTGCAATTGAGTTGGTCAGGGTGTACAGAAACAGGTACTCTAACGCACAGTTGTTGAAAGCATTATTAGGTACAAACTTTTGAGAGAAATTTGACAATATTATTAAAAATTTAAGATGCATACTCTCCTTGACCTAGCAATTTTACTTCTAGAAATTTGTCCTATAGAAATGCATACATATGCAAAGATGGTCATTACACCACTGATTGTAGTAGCAAAATAATTGGAAACAAATGTTTATCAATAGCCAATGATTAAATAAATCATAGAACATTCATATAGTGGAACATAGGCAGGTTTTAAATGATGTAGAGTTGTATGTGCTTATTTGCAAAGTTAGCTACCTCAGTCAAGATCCAGCCAGGAACACAAAACTCATATCAGATAATTCAATAGGTGGAATTTATATAGTGGTCCTCCCGTATTCACGGTTTTGCTTTCCATTTCAGTTTCAATTACCTGTGGTCAACTGCAGTCCAAAAATATTCCATGGAAAATTCCAGAAAGTTTCATAAAGTTTTAAATTGTACACTGTTCTGAGTAGCAGGATGGAATCTCTTGCAGTTCCACTCCATCCTGCCCAGGGCATGAATCATCCCTGTGTCCAGCAGATCCACGCTGTCTGCATTACCCGCCTATTAGTCACTTAGTAGTCAGCCTGTTATCAAATTCACTGTCGTAGTATCACAGTGCTTGTGTTCAAAGTAACCCTTATTTTACTTAATAATGGCCCCAAAGCGCAAGAGTAGTGATGCTGGCAATTTGAATATGCCAAAGAGAAGCCGTAAGTGCTTCTTTTAAGTGAAAAGGTGAAAGTTTTTGACTTAATAAGGAAAGAAAAAAAACTGTACGCTGAGGTCACTAAAGGTCTTCTTTAGTAAGAATGAATCATCTATCCATGAAATCGAGACCAATACATTGTTATAATTGTTCTATTTTATTATTAGTTATTGTCGTTAATCTCTTACTGTGCCTAATTTATAAATTAAACTTTATCATAGACATGTATGCATAGGAAAGAACATAGTGCTTATAGAGTTTAGTTCTATTTGAAGTTTCAGGCATCCACTGGGTGTCTAGGAATGTATCCCCCACAGATAAGGGTGGGAACTACTGCATAGGAATCAATTACAAAAGTTTAGAGGCAAAACTATTTGTATCCAGAAAGTGGTGATCTGGGTACATGGGCTGCCCTGCAGGCTTTGACACAGGCAGGTGGTGAGTGAGAAGAGCAGAGACAAGATTACTCTATCCAAGGCCGTATCTTCCTCTCTCTCTCTGCTTCTTTCTGTGTATCAACTTCATTCTCTCTCTATATACCAGCTTTCTGCTCTTCTCCATGCACATAGCTGTACCAGCTCTAGTTCAAGAATTAGCAGTAGCTGAAGATAATCCCAGGAGACAGTCTGATTAATCCGGATTGGGTTAAGCACCCACCCAAGTCTAATCAAGGCAGAGGGAAGGGTCACATAATATAAACATGGCCACAGAACCCACCTATGTGAGTGGAGGGTTGCAGTTCTCACCAGAGGAACCTAGAATGGAGAGATCCTATCTACTATTGACAACATGGGTGTCTTAGTTCATTTTCAACTGCTAAAACAGAGTAACAGACTGGGTAATTTACAAAGAAAAGGCATATATTTCGCTCATGGTTCTGGAGGCTGGGAAGTCCCAGGGTATGGCACTGGCATCTGCTTGGCCATCTGGTCAGGGTCTTCTTGTTCTATCCTCCCATTCGATGAAAGCAGAAAGGCAAGTGAGTGCAAGAGCCAGAGAGAAAATGAGGGCCAAACTCATCTTTCATCAGGAGTCCACTCCCACAATAACTAACCCACTCCCAAAATAACTAACCCACCTCTGAGAAAACAGCTTTAATCCATTCAATGAGGGCTCTGCTCCCAAAGGTCTCACCCAACACTGTCACAATGGCAACCAAATTTTAGCACGAGCTTTGGAAAGGACATTTAAACCATAGCAACAAGCAACTGCATTGGTACTAATGCCATCTAACAGAGTAGGAAATTCATGATGGGGAGAAGATTGAAATAGGAGATAAGTTAAGCTTGGAACATGCTCAATTGAGGTGCCTGCAGAACACCCAAATATATCATTTAGGAGGTAACAGAATGGAGAGTCTAGAGCTCAGCATGGGAATTTGGGCTGGAAATCTAGACTTGTGACAATTAGCGTGAAATTGTGTTTGAAACCATGGGTAAGTAAGGGGAAAAGAAGATGGTTCAGAATAGAACCTTAGAGAATAAGACACATTTACAGAATGAACAGAGGAAGAGGAAATGCTGAAAGAGACTGAGAAGAATTGGCCAAAAGGACTGGAGGAAAAAAAAGAAACAAAAAAATCATGGTGAAAGAGAGAGAAGAAAGAGAAAGGAATTTTCAAGTAAAAGAAAGTGGTCAATTTTGTCAAATGCTTCTGAGAGGTCATATAAAATAAGCCCTGAAAACTGCTTGTTTGGATGTGGCCTCAAGAAGATGTCTGATAATTTGGGTATCAAAGTGAAGGAAGAAGCCAAATTGCAATGCACTTAGGAGGTTAGGAAATGAATTCCTCATGATGCAATTCCTTTGCCACATTCATGAACAGGTAGGTGACAAGCTTTGCATAACATTAAATAGAAGAAATAAGCCATTGTGCTTGTATGTCATGGTTCTGCAAATTCTGCCCCCTCTTTTTTTCTTTTTTTTTTTTTTTGAGACAGAGTCTTGCTCTGTTGCCTAGGCTGGAGTGCAGTGGCACGATTTTGGCTCACTGCAACCTCTGCCTCTCAGGTTCAAGGGATTCTGCTGCCTTAGCCTCCCGAGTAGCTGGGATTATAGGCGTGCGATACCACGCCTGGCTAATTTTGGTATTTTTAGTAGGGACAGGGTTTTGCCATGTTGGCCGGGCTGGTCTTAAACTCCTGACCTCAAGTGATCTGCCTGCCTAGGTCTCCCAAAGTGCTGGGATTACAGGTGTGAGCAACCACACCTGGATGCAAATCCCTTTTAATAGGGTAACTTGAACTAATCTTGTCAGTTCAGAACATTTACAAAGGCCAAATCTCAGGTTTTTACTTTGAATTCACAGAGCAAATCACAAAGGTCCCCTTGGGGTTGGTGATTCTTATACAGTCCCAGTCTAGAGAAACATCAGAACAGGGGCCAGCTAGCTACAGTCCTTGCGCTGCATCTGGCCTGCTGCAAGGTTTTGTATGGCTTGTGAATAAAGAATATTTTTTACATTTTTTCAATGTTTGAAAAATAGCAAGCCGGGCGTGGTGGCTCACGCCTGTAATCCCAGCACTTTGGGAGGCTGAGGTGGGTAGATCACTTGAGGTCAGGAGTTCAAGACCAGCCTGACCAATATGGTGAAACCCTGTCTCTACTAAAAATACAAAAATTAGCCAGGCGTGGTGGCACATGCCTGTAATCCCAGCTACTCAGGAGGCTGAGGCAGAATTGCATGAGCCCAGGAGATGGAGGTTGCAGTGAGCCAAGACTGCACCACTGCACTCCAACCTGGGTGACAAAGCAAGACTCCATCTCAAAAAAAAAAAAAAAAAAGAAAAGAAAGAAAGAAAAATAGCAAAGGAAGGAAAATATTTTGTGATACATGGCATTATATGGCATTCAAAATTTCAGTGTCTATAAATAAATTTTATTGGAACTCAGCACTCATCTATGTCTGACTGCCTTTGTGCTACAATAGCAGAGTTTAGGATCTACGACAGAGACCATAAAATGCTTACTATCTGGCCCTTTTCAGAAAAAGTTTGTGGATCCCAACTCTAGAAGACTGGACAGAGCAGTCCTGGGACTTTAGGTTGCTCTTTGGAGATACAAAAATAGCTTAGTTATGGTCACCAAACCTCAACAAAAAGCATACTATATATTTGTCTAACCTCCTAAAATTTTAGGTATAGGAACAACCCTAGCATAATTAGGCCCACAACGAATGGCCCCATTTTAGGCCAAATCTAGGGGTTTTCACTTTTGACATGTAGTGAGCTATGTATTTATTTGTGATATCTTGGAACACAACTGGACCAGACTCTGTGCCTGGCATTGAGACAGGCTAGAATAGAGAGAGGAAAAGCCAAGATCTGTAACTAGACTTAGGCCCTGGTGTGGAATAGTTCCAGGACGGGCCCTGGAAGTTAATTGGCAGGGAACAGTAAAATGCCATGGAGCACTTCCCAGATGAGAGGCTTACCAAGGGCTTTACACACACTTACCAAGATAAACAAGACTAACGCCTCCTCTTTCACCAAAAAGCTTACCGTCTGAAGAATGGGAATACAAATCTAGGGTTAAAATCCTAGGTTCACAGCTGCATCTGGGAGATCACCCATTCCAGTTTTCCCTTTCTAGGTGAGCTGAACACCGTGAAACAGAGGCAAGCAAGATGCTAAGGTAGTTTAGAGGAGGGTGAGCTTACTTGCTGGCAGGCAATTTCAGCCTGGAAGGAAGGAAATACTTTAACAAAAGAAAGTAGAACGTGTGAGAGACAAGAAACCTCAGAGTACATTTAAGGAACAGCATGAAGATCCTACTGGCTGAAATGGATGGTGTATATGAACTAATTTTTAACTTACAAATTTACTTTTAATTTCCAGCTCTGCCCAACAGGAGGTCTTTTTAGGTTCAACTAAACATGAACTCACAATCTAGACCACACTCAGATACTTCAGCGGATACTCCAAAGGAAGCATAGATTGCCATCGGGCCATGGGCATGTCCTTCCAGGACTCCCTGCAGCAGTCTACCTAGCAGCACTGCTTAGGTTCCCACAGCAAGATCCTTACTGGCCACCAAAGGTCGAGTTCTCATGCAGAAAGGGAAACAGTTTTGCTAGCCCTTTACTCATGCTCCCCAACACCAGCTCCAGTTTCACTGCTTTCCCCCAAAATAACTCCTGGTAATATTTTTCTGAGAATTTACATGAAATTATGTAGACATAGGTAGACATTTGGTTTATATCTATTTTTTCACTATTAAAACAAGCAATGAACATCCTTACACATGAAAGTATTTCCTATCAGTGAAGTTACTTGATCAAATGGTAAATTTTCAATTTTTTTTTTTTTTAAGAGACAAGGTCTCACTGTGTTGCCCAGGCTGGAGTGCAGTGTCTATTCACAGGTATGATCCCACTACTCATCAGCATGGGAGTTCTGACCTGCTTCATTTCTGACCTGGGCTGGCTCACCCTTCCTTAGGTAACCTGGTGGTCCCCTGCTCCCGGAGGTCACCACATTAATGCCAAACTTAGTGTGGACACCAGATCAGCATAGTGCACTACAGGTCAGAATTCCTAGACTTGAGCGATCCTTCCACCTCAGCCTCCTGAATAGCAGGGACTACAGGCACGCACCACTGCACTCAGTAAATTTTAAATTCTGATAGGTAATATTAAGTGGCTATTACTCTTAATGCACACCAACAATGTATGAGTACCAAGTTCCTTTCACTCTCTGTGGCTGAATATTAGACATCTTTAAATTTTGTCTTTATAATGAACCAACAATTGTCTTGTGTTAATTTGCATTTCTCTGATTACTAGTGAATTCATACATCCTTTTTTTTTTTTTTAAACTTTTTAAATTGGGCGGGGGGGTCTTGCTATGTTGCCTAGGCTGTTCTCAAACTCCTGGGCTCATGTGATCCTCATGCCTTAGCCTCCCAAAGTGCTGGGATTACAGGCGTAAGCCACCATGCCTGGCCATATACCTTTTCAAATATTTATTAATTACCATTTGTATTTTTTGTATGTGTGAATTACTTGATCATATTCTTTGCCCATTTTTCTATTGAATTTTTTTCATCAATTTGTAGGAGATATACATATATATATATATGGCATACATATTAATGTATTGTTTATATACACACAATAAATATTTCTATTTTATTGAGTATTATTAGATATGTAATGGAAACTATTAAAAACTTTTGATCAATACAGCTTGGTGGCTAAGTGAATGTTAGGGCTTTGTGTGTCTCAGCTCTATGACTTCCTAGTATGTGACCTTGGGCAAAGCACTTAATCTCCCTGAACCTGTTTTGCTAAGTGGGGATAAGAGATGTACTCACTGGCTTGTCTTGAGTATGGGGCACATAAAGTATTCAGTAAATGGTAACACTAAGCTTTTTTTTTTTAATTGAGATATAATTCACATACCATAAAGTATACAAGTCAGTTGTTTTTAGTATATTCACAAGGTTGTGTAACGATCACCACTATTTAATTCAAGAACTTTTCCATCACCGCCACGTAAAAAAATTCTGCACCCAGTCACTCCCCATCCTCCCTTCCCCACCCATCTCCTGGCAACCACTAATCACTTTCTGTCTCTATGGATTTACCTATTCTGGATGTTTCATATAAGTGGAGTCATACAGTAGGTGGCCTTTGTGTCTGGCATCTTTCATTTGGCATGTTTATAAGATTCATTCTGCATGTTTAGCACATCATTCATTTTTACTGCTGAGTAATAATCCATTGTATTGATACACCACATTCGATTTATTCATTCATCAGTTGATGGACATGGGGATTGTTTCCAATTTTAGCTATTCTGAATGATGCTCCTATAAATATTCATGCACAAGTTTTTGTGTGGACATGTTTTCAATTCTCCTGGGTATATATCTAGAAGAATTTTGAGGTCATATGGTAACTCTATGTTTAACATTTTAAGGAACTCTGAAACTTTTTCTACAGCAGTTGCATCTTTTTACATTTTTACCAGAAATATATGAGAGTTTCAATTTCTCCACATCCTCATCAACACTTACTATTGTCTGTCTCTTTTATTGCAGCCATTCTAGTGGATGTGAAGTGTTATCATCATTTTGATTTGTATTTCCAAATGATGTTAAGCATCTTTTTATATGCTTATTGGCCATTTGAATATCTTCTTTGGAGAAATGTGTATTCAAATTTTTTGCCCAATTTTTAATTGTCTTTTTATTGTTGAGTTGTAAGAGTTCTTTATATATTCTGGATACTCGACTCTTGTCAGATATATGAGTTGCAAATATTTTCTCCCATTTCGTGGGTTTGTTTTTTTTTTCTGACTTTTTTTAGAATGTCCTTTGAAGCACAGAAGTTTTTTTGTTTGTTTGTTTGTTTTTTTGGGGGGGACGGAGTCTCACTCTGTTGCCCAGGCTGGAGTGCAGTGGTGTGATCTTGGCTCACTGCAACCTCCGCCTCCCGGGTTCACGCCATTCTCCTGCCTCAGCATCCTGAGTACCTGGGACTACAGGCACCCGCCACCATGCCCAGCTAATTTTTTGTATTAGTAGAAGCAGTGTTTCACCATGTTAGCCAGGATGGTCTCAATCTCCTGACCTCATGATCCACCTGCCTCAGCCTCTTAAAGTGCTGGGATTACAGGCGTGAGCCACCACACCCGGCCAAAGCACAAAAGTTTTTAATGATGAAGATCAATTTGCCGTTTTTTTTTTTTTTTGAGACAGGGTCTTGTTCTGTTGCCCAGGCTGGAGTGCAGTAGCATGATCCTGACTCACTGCAACCTCCATCTCCTGGGCTCAAGCGATCCTCCCACCTCAGCCTCCCAAGTAGCTGGGACTACAGGTGCACACCACCATGCCCAGTTAATTTTTATATTTTTTTAGTAGAGACAGGATTTTGCCATGTTGCCCAGGCTGGTCTTGAACTCCTGGGCTCAAGCAATCCACCCACCCTGTCTCCCAAAGTGCTGGGATTACAGGTGTGAGCCACTGCATCCAGTCAATTTGTCTATTTTTTATTTGGTTGAGTGCACTTTAGGTGTTATATTCCCAAGTATTTTATTTTTTTAGATGTTATTATAAATGAAATTTTTTTAAAATTTTTATTTTCAGATTGTTCATTGCTGGAGTATGGAACTAATTGATTTTTGTATATAATCGTTCATCCTGCAATTTTGCTGCATCCATTTATTACCTCTAATAGTTTTTTTGTGTGTGTGTGTGTATTCCTTAGGGTTTTCTTTACACAAGATTATGTCATCTCCAAATAGAGATCATTTTACTTCTTTCTTTCTAATCTGGATGACTTTTATTCTTTTTGCTTGCCAAATTGCTCTGGCTAGAACCTCCCACACAGTGTTGAATAGATGTGGAAAGAGTGAACAGCCTTATCTTTTTCCTAATCTTATGGGGAAAGAATCCAGTCTTTTACCACTATGTATGATGCTTCCCACTGAGGAAGTTCTCTTATATTACTAATTCGTTGAGTGTTTTTTTAATTATAAACGGGTATTGGATTCTGTCAAATGATTTGTCTGCATTTATTGAGATGATCATGTGTATTTTGTGTCCTTTGTTCTATTAATATAGTCTATATGTTAGTTATTAAGGCTGCCATAACAAACTACCACATACAGGTATTTGGTATTTATTTTCCCACAATTCTGGAGGTTATAAGTCTGAGATCAAGTTGTGGGCAGGATTAGTTTCTCCTGAGGCCTCTCTCCTTGGCTTGTAGATGGGTGTCTTCTCCCTGTGTCTTCATATGGTCTTCCTTCTGTGAGTGTCTGTGTCTTAGTCTCCTCTTACAAGGACACCAGTTGTATTAGTCCATTTTCATGCTGCTAATAAAGACATACCAAAATTGGGTAATTTATAAATAAAAAGAGGTTTAATGGACTCACAGTTCCACATGGCTGGGGAGGCCTCACATCATGGTGGAAGGTGAAAGATGAGCAAAGGCATGTCTTACATGGTGGCAGGCAAGAGAGCGTGTGCAGGGGAACTACCCTTTATAAAACCATCAGATCTCATGAGACTTATTCACTATCTTGAGAACAGCACAGGAAAAACCAGCCCCCATGATTCAACTACCTCCACTGGGTCCCTCTCATAACAAGTGGGGATTATGGGAGCTACAATTCAAAATGAGATTTGGGTGGGGACACAGCCAAACTATATCACGAGTCATATTAGATTAGGGCCCAACCTAATGATTATAATTACTTCTTTGACACTATCTTCAAAAACAGTCACAGTCTGAGGTACTAGGGGTTAGGGCTCAATATGTGAATTGGAAGAGGGACACAATTCAGCTCATAATAGTGTATTACACTTATGGATTTGTATATGCCGAACCAACCTTGCATTCCTGAGATAAATCCCAGTTGATAATGGGACTTATTATCCTTTTTATGTTGCTGGATTTGGTTTGCTAGTATTTTGTCAAGGATTTTAGCAGATGGCCAGCATTATTATCTTCTTTATTCTTACCATTCAACACGCTTTTACATGTGCTATGTCATTTACCCTTTAACAGAATTCCATGAGGTAGGTAGTATGTTTACCACAGCAAACTGAGGCTCAGGAAAGTTTATTTTCCCCTAACTATAAACTCGCAGTAGTATATAGTATAAATTGGAATTAAAATTACAGATGGTGAGAACATTTAGGGAGATGAAAGAAAGCAGGATTTGGTGAGAACAAAGAGAAACTTTGTATGGATGGAAGTTTACAGAATCAATTTGAATAGCATCAGTGATCTCAATGATGTAAGAACTGAGGTCATCTGCTGATGTGCAAAATAAGAGTAAATAGGTTCATGGTTTCAATTCATGAATGTAATTAAACCAAATAGGAGTGACAATTCTCATTAATTTTGAGAACATGACTTAACCAGATTAACTCATGTTCTCATTAATTTTGAGAACATGAGTTAACCAGATTTAACTCATTAATCATGAGAACATGATTTAACCAGAATGAGCCAAAATTTTAATAATAGGGATTGGACTATAACAGTAACAGTAAACCTCAGCTTACAGATTTCTTCTTTCTTGGAAAGTTTGTTTCCCAGTTGATTTCCAGTTTGCACACTCTCCTCTAAGCTTTGGGGGAGCTGTACCATGACTGTTCAGTCAGGAAATGCTGAATTAAAATTGAATCTCTGTCCCAACAGATTGTGTGACTCTGAAAGTCATTTAATTTCTTCATGGCTCTACTCCCTTATCAAATGAGGGAATTAAGTTAGATGATTAGCTCCCAGCTTTATGACTCTATTCATTTAGTGAATAAGCAGACTGGTGATTCAGTAGACTGGAAATTTTCAGACAGCAACAATAAAGAATTTACTAAGGGTAGACTAAGGAATTACTAAAGAGCAATGAAGCCGTGTTGAGGGTAGAGAACAGTTAACTCAGGATAGCCAGTGAAAGTGAGAAAGAGTAAACAGATTAGGGTGGAGATCCAGGAGGGCTACCTAGAGTTGGGGATTGACATGAGGCGTATTACATAAGGTTACTGAAATCTAGGTGGTCAATTGGTTAAAATTTATCTTAAGTAAAAATAACTAAAAATAATTTAAAAGCCAGATCAGAGAGTCCAGGCTGGGGCAGGAGATAGATGAAACTCATACCTTTAACTGCCTATTTTTACATTAGGACCATAATGTTATTTATCCGAGTTCACCGGACAATGCACTGAAGAGCAAGGACCTTACCCGTAAGTCCCTTCAGTAAAGTTCCTGAAGGAGTCCTGGCCCTGGTCCCTTACATCATTTACAGGTCATGTTTAATTTCTTTGAACTGTCACATGATACTTCATCATAGGAGGCAATGTTCTGTTAATCAAGACATCTGTTTTTCCTTTTCATTTAATTTTTAAACTATTTTTATTCTCTTTCACTCAAATGAAATACATTCTTATTTTTTAAAAAGCTAAATATTTAGATACATAATGAAGATAGTTAGTCCCTAAAATTCTTCCTGTTAAGTTTGGTGATGATTCATTCCTCCAAGTTACTTTTCTTTGCTTACTAACATATTACTTATAAAAATTAAATCATAAACACTGTTTTTCAAACTGCTTTCCCTCCCCCACCAACAAACCAGCATAGATCTGCTTTATTCATTTTGACAACCACAGAGGATTCCATTGTATCATGATATATCATATTTATACAGCTTCTATTGATAGACATTTGCCTTGCTTCCATTTTTTTTTCTATTTTTTATTGTAAATAATGCTGTAATGAAAATTCTTGTACATATCTTGCATATTTGGATAAATGGTTTGTAAGTAATACATTTTTTCTTATTTTTTTCCTTTTCCCTTCTTCCTTCTGTGAAAATAAATAATATATTCCTAAAACTCTACTTGCTTTCAATAAAAAAGTAAACAAGTGTGAATTTTAAAAGTGAAACTGTTGAGTCAGTCTTTTAGCAGATATTCCTAAATTATCCTCTGAAAACATTGAACTAATTTATAATCCCATCATTGTATGAGGGTAGCTGTTTCCTCACTTGCTATCACTGTCTTTTTTTGTTTTGCTTTGCTTTTTTTAAATCTAAAATTTAAAAAGTAGAGTTAGCAAATAAAAGTATAGTATGTTTAGTTAAATTTGAATTTCAGATAAAAAATGATACTCTATCTCAAGCTAGGCATGGTGGCTCATGCCTGTAATCGCAGCATTTTGGGAGGCCAAGGTGGGCCGATTGCTTGAGCCCAGGAGTTCAAGACTATGGCGAAATTCTACAAAATATACAAAAATTAGCTGGGCATGGTGGTGAAGGCCTATAGTTTGAGGAGCTTGAGTTGGGAGGATCACCTGAGCCAGAAAGGTCAAGGCTGCAGTGTTCCAGCTTGGGCAACAGAGTGAGACTCTACCACAAACAAACAAACAAACAAACAAACAAACACACTATCTCCATCTTCCAGATGGCCTGTTTCTGGTCTCTCTGTTGGTATCATCAGTGATGTCTTCTCTGTTATCAGTTTATCTGTACCATTTATCTCATCCTACATGGATGAGAAATATTTGCTATTTAAATATGCATATTCTTAAGATTTAGTGAGACGAAGCATAAAATTGGTTATTTTTATGTCCTCTTCAGTGAACTGCCTATTCAAGTCTTTTGCTCCTTTTGCCAGTGGTTCATTTGTTTTCCTTAATGATTCATAATAATTCTTTTAATCTTAAAGCTTTAGACACATATATGTCCCACTTTTCCTTTAGGCTATTTTTATTTTTTGTCTCCATTTAGAAGGGTTGCATTTTATGTAATACAATTTGTGCAGTTGTGCCATTATGCCATTTCTCAAATCACCTGGATGCCTTGTGCAAATGCAAATTCCTGGGCTCCATTCTAGACCTAATCAAATGTCTTTACTATTGTACTCTGAACTATTAAGAAGCTCCCTAAGGGGTTTTCTTTCTCCTTTCCTAACTGCCCCCTTTGTTTTTTCCTCCCTCCCATCCATTCTTCCAAACTTCTATTACATTCAATGATCAGTACTGAAGAATTTGCTAGAATTATTAAAATAAAACATACAAGTAAACATGCTAACCATGCAATTGGAAGCTACTGTCATCTTGTGAGACAGTGTGCTGATCCAGTAAGATCAAGATAAGATTGACTTATTCTTCATCAGTTGACTTCAGGGAGAAAAAATGATTTTCTCTGACATTATTAAAAACCTTTTTATGAAAAATCTCAAGCACACACGAGAGTTCAGAAAACAATAAATTCCCATGTACCTATTATCAAGCTTTAATAATTAGCAACAGCCAATCTTGTTTCATCTGTATTTCTACTCCCCCTACCATCCCCTTTCCCCAGATTTAGCAACTCTCAAGAGATTCCTAAACTCATTCAAATTTGAGATCCAAAACTTTATGATTTCTGGGTTTTGCATTGTACTTTCCAACTCCAAGAAAATAATATTTACCTTTTTTTTTTTTCTTTTCTTTATCAATTGTTGGCAGGGGCTGGGTTGAGGGGAAGCAATTTACTCTTTTTTTTTTCCTAGCTGGTACTTGTATGATCTCATTTTCTTTCTTTTTTTAAAAGAGACAAGGTCTTGCTCTGTCACCAGGCTGCAATGCAGTGGCCCACACATAGCTCACTGTAGTCTCAAACTCTTGGGCTCAAGCAATCCTCCTGCCTCAGCCTCCTGAGCAGCTAGGACTACAGGTGGATGCCACCACACCTGGCCAATTTTTCTGTTGTTTGTGTCTTTTGTTTGTTTGGTTTTTTTTGTAGAGACCAGGTCTCACTATGTGACCTAGGCTAGTTTCAAACTCCTGCCCTCAAGAGATCCTCAGCCCCACAAAGTGTTGGGACTACAGGCGTGAGCCACCATGCCCAGTCATTTTCTTTGGTTTTGATCTCAAGAGTTTGAAATCTATTATTATTAAAAAACAAAACAAAACAAAACTGAAGACATTAGGGGTAATGCTAAGGAACAGGTACCTGAAATGTTTTCTAGAGATTTCAAATATCTATGCTTTAGTATTCCATCCAACAAAATTAATACTAGAATTTTCTTACATGTTATTAATGGCTAGCAAGATTTTTATCTACAGTGTTTTGCATTTATGCTACCTGATGTTCATATTTGATATAGTATTAAGTTACTACAATTAGTTAAAGGAAGGAGGTTTGAGAAGTATTTAGGCATGAGCAACAGACAATTAAAAATGCTAACACTTTGAACATGAGAATTAAGTATTAATGAGACAGAAAAGCCCATAGCAGATTACTCATCTGAGTAACTGCTGGTTGACTCAACACCAAGCTATAGTTCCTTAATCTCCTATCTGTAAAATATGAATAACAGCACCAAACACCTACATTGGTTAGAAAAAATGAAACTAATACTTTGATCTTCTTTCAAGAAGTGAGCTGCCTAATTAGCTGAGTTTCTTTAATTCTTCTTATTGTCTAGATGAAGAAATTATCCCTTGGGAAATATTCTCTTTCCACTTATAAAAGAATGGGAAAATCTATCATATGGAGATACCACATTTAAAAAATGCATTCATTAGTTGATGGACATTTTGAATTGTTTCCTTTTTGGCAGTCATGCATGATGCTATGAACATTGATGTACAAGTTTTTGTGTGAACATGTTTTCATTTCTCTTGGGTATATATCTAGGAGTGGAATTGTTGTGTCATTGGATAATTATGCTTAACTTTTTGAAGAATTGCCAAGCTGTTTTCCAAAGTGGCTGAACCATTTTACATTCCTACCAGCAATATATGAGGGTTCCAATTTTTCTATAGCCTCATCAACTTTTTTGGGTATTTTGTTTAAAATTATAGCCACAATGGTGGATGTGAAGTGAAATGCGATACACTTCACATTTTCCTAATGATGAATGATGCAGAGCATCTCCTCATATGCTTATTGACCATTTTGATACCTTCCTTGGAGAAATCTCTGTTCAAATCCTTTGCCCATTAAAAAAATTTTTATTGAGTTACAGGAGTTCTTTGCAATGTCACAGTGAAATCCTACCAAGATTAAAGCCAACAAAGAAATAAGAGCCAATAGAGAGTAAGATTGAGCCATGACCACATATTTTGAACCCTTGTATGCATGCATGAAGTCAGACCTACCTACATGGACTTTAGTTTTATGAACCAATACATTTGAACCAATACATTCGTGGGCAGCTGACTAGAATAATGATTGCCTGTGCCAACTCCTCAAGTAGAATGGGGCTTTTCCCTCATGTTATTTTCCTGATCTATCCCCAGGCCCTATGCGATACTTGGGAAATCTTATCATGATAAGCCTGGCAGGTAGGCATGGGGATAAAAGGTGCAGAGAAAATGAATGATGCCTGGCACAATTGAAAGTACCACCATCAAGCCCCAGAGGGCTCTGGCCGAAATTTCAGACCACAGAGGCCTTTGTACATCCTCCATAATAATTGCAAAAGTCACAACTTTAAAAAATAAAGCCACAAAGTAAAAAGTAACCAATCCATCAGGGCAGACAGATAAAAAAGTATTTTTGTTCCTAGGTTGCCAAGATGGTTCAGCCAACATACCTTTAAAGATTAGGTATTAATGAATGTTAAAAGTAGATGAGTCTAAAAGTAGAGGACTTGCTGTGTGGATTTGAACAGAAGAGGCTAAAGAGGAGAGGGTAGGAGTAGTGCATGAAGCTAATGCACAGCTGCAGCTGCTTCCCATATGTCTCTATGAAAGATTTAATTTTTTTTTTTTTTTTGAGATGAAGTCTCATTCTGCCGCCCAGGCTGGAGTGCAGTGGCGTGATCTCAGCTCATTGCAACCTCTGCCTCCTGGGTTCAAGCAATTCTCCTGCCTCAGCTTCCCAAGTAGCTGGGATTACAGGCATGTGCCACCATGCCTGGCTAATTTTTGTATTTTTAGTAGAGATGGGGTTTTACCATGTTGGCCAGGCCAGTCTTGAACTCCTGACTTCAGGTGATCCACCTGCCTTGGACTCCCAAAGTGCTGGTATTACAGGCGTAAGCCGCCATGCCTGGCCCCTAAGAATTAATATATTTGTATGTGAAGAATAATGACACTATGATATAGGCAGAACAAAACTTAAGATATAATCTTTACCATCAAAGAGCTTCTACATGCGACAATGAGTGCCAATAAGAGATGTGATGTCACAATACTATAAAGATACTTTAACTGTATTGAGGGAGTTCCAGAAAGTCTTCAAAGAGGAAGAAACACATCAGGAGGGAGAAATAGGATCTGTAAACTACATTTATTGAATACTTACTGGACACATCATATACAAAAAAGGATGGGGGCAGGTAAGAACTTGAAGAAATTAAATATACACATTAAGTTTCTTCACTAATTCTAGCCACTAAAGAAGTACAAAATTTGTACAAGTAATACTTTATAATGAAATTTTGATGCCTGTCAAAAGGGTAATAAGCTATACATATACTACAATAAACATTTTTAAAAACTGTGCTTAATATCATAGAATTTTCTTAAAATGGGTTGGTAAAATACCTATATAGCATCCATTCTTACACACATATTTTCCATTAAAGATTGCTTAAATAGTACAAATTCCTATTGCTAAGAAATTCATGGTCAACAGCTGTATATGAAGTTCCTCTAAGAAACATCACAGCATTTGCAGTAAGTCCATTTCTCCAGTGAAGCCCACCTTATTTTCAGTTTAGCTTACTACCAAGTTCTCATGAGAACTGTTTATATGTCTTTTGCTTGGTCATCTTCTTCAAGTTTTCTGATTTCATTTTTTAAACAATTTATAGTTTCACGACTTGCTTTTAATCTCTCCTTAAGCTCTGCAATCTCAAAGCTTGTTTTTTTCTTAGCAGCTTCTAATTTTTCTCTGGTTTTCACTTCAAGCTCTGCAACTAAAGAAAACAAATACTTTTACTAAAGTATTTTTCTCACATGTTTAAGATATATGACAGGGTAATAAATATGGCATTTCCTGACGACAATGTTTCCATGATGAAATGTGGATAACTTAAGAATTACAACATTAAACATGGGTGCAGGTTGGGGGAGGGGAAGAATGTCTGAATTCCCAAGAGAGGATCTAAGATGTTTCCTACAACTAAAAATAAAATTCTGGTCACCAACTCACAGTTAAAATTTTAAGACATAATGTCCTTTTTTCCATACACATATTAAGATTGAAATAAGGGGGCACACAAACCCAAGATACATCAGCTAATGAGAGGTGACTGGGCGCAGTGGCTTATGTCTGTAATCCCAGCACTTTGGGAGGCTAAGGCAGGTGGATCACTTGAGGTCAGGAGTTCGAGACCAACCTGGCCAACATAGCAAAACCTCGTCTCTATCAAAAATACAAAATTAGCAGGGCGTGGTGGTGCACACCTGTAATCCCAGCTACTCTGGTGGCTGAGGCATGAGAATCACTTGAACTTGGGAGGCAGAGGTTGCAGTGAGCTGAGATGACGCTAGTGCACTCCAGCCTGGTCGACAGAGTGAGACTCTGTCTTAATGGGTGGGGGTGGGGGGGAAGCGTTAACTACAAGTATTCTTAAATTTATATACAGGTGAAACTTTTTTTTTTTTTTTTTGAGATGGAGTCTCGCTCTTGTCGCCCAGGCTGGAGAGCAGTGGCATGATCTCAGCTCACTGCAACCTATGCCTCCCAGGTTCAAGCAATTCTCCTGCCTCAACCTCCTGAGTAGTTGGGACTACAGGTGCATGCTGCCATGCCCGGCTAATTTTTTGTATTTTAGTAGAGACGGGGTTTCACCGTGTTGCCCAGGCTGACTGCGAACTCCTGAGCTCAGGCAATCCGCCCTCCTTAGCCTCCCAAAGTGCGGGGATTACAGGCATAAGCCACCAGGCCCGGCCCAGGTGAAACTTATAAACAAAATCACACTATCAATACAAGCCAATATCTTTTTTTCAAATAGGTGGCAATAACTGCTAAAATTTGAATCCCAGCTCTGCCACTTACTAGCTGTGACACTGTAAGCTATTTCACCTATGTTCCTCACTTATGAAACAGAAATGATAATGGCAAATACTTCATAATATTATTTGTTGAGAAAACTTTTGAGACAGGATCTTACTCTGTCACCCAGGCTGGAGTGCAGTGGTGTGATCTTGGCTCACTGCAAACTCTCACTCCCGGGTTCAAGTGATTATCCCACCTCAGCTTCCCAAGCAGCTGGGATTACAGGTGTGAGCCACCACACCCAGCCTGTTGAGAAGACTTAATGAATTAATTTATGTAAAGTACCCAGAATACTGCCTGGTACAGAAAAAGCCCTATCAACTATTGTTATGAGAAAAGAGAAACATTAAGTGATATCTGAAACTATCTATCTATAACAAAGTACTAAAGAAATGTTACTGCAAAACAGGACACATCTATTTAAATATGCCACTTGGATATGTAGCATGATGTTTTACAAAGAAAAATATCTGCTTGTGTCTAACATTTCCATCTTGTGGACATTTTTGGTAACTGCTGCTCACTATTAAAGTACACTTATACTTACTTTCACTAATAAAAGATGGTCACTAATTGGAAGCCAGATGGTTTGGTGGGAAAAAAACCCAACTATGGAAACAGAAAAGATCTGATTTCAAATAAACCCTTGCTTCCTTATTAGCCGAATGCTAACATTTCTAAGGCTCCATCAATCTCTTTGTACGATACAGCTAAAACTAGGTATTTCTCAGAGGATTTACGAAGATTACATGAAGTAATTATATGTAAAGCATCTAGCACATAAAAAACATGCAATACACGGTAAAACCCTGTCTCTACTAAAAATACAAAAAATTAGCTGGGCATGGTGGCGAGCACTTGTAGTCCCAGCTACGCGTGAGGCTGAGGCGGGAGAATGGCGTGAACGCAGGAGGCGGAGCTTGCAGTGAGCCGAGATCGCGCCCTGCACTCCATCCAGCCTGGGCGACAGCGCGAGACTCTGCCTCAAAAAAAAAAAATAAAAATAAAAAAAATAAAAAAATTCAATGAATATTAATGAGTTCTTTCCTTATTTTGCTCATTGCTGGTGACTTGCTTTTTGTGATTGTCAAAACAATTCATATTTTACTTTGTAATTCTTTTCATTCTTTTACAAATTATTTTTATACATAGGTAGTACACACAAGATTACAAATTAAAAGATTAAAGAGTAGACAGTGAAAAAATATGCCCTTCTACTACACTTGTTCCCCAGCCTGCCATGACCAATCAGTGCTTCTTCCCAGAGATAATCACTGTTGTGTTCTCTGATATCTTCCCAGAAATAGTCTGCTGATATACAAAGCATATACCCAAGTGCAGTTTCTTCTTCTTCCCAACACAAGTGGTATCATTCTATACACATTGTTTTGCACCTTGCTGTTTCACTTAACATTATATCTGGAAGCTCACCCTATAACACAGAGCTGTCTCATTCTTTTTAATGACTACAGAGGACCTAATTGAATGGATAAATAAAATTCATTTAGTCTGCCCCCTATTGATGTACACTCAGAGTATCTCCATTTTTTTCTTTTACAAACAATGCAATAATGTGTATGCTGTAAATAATCATTTTAGTATATTTGTAGGATAAATTCCTGGAAATGGAACTGTTATAGAATATATATGTACTTGTAATTCTGGAAGAACATCAAGCAACTCAAAAGGATCTACCAATTTATAATCCCATTAGCATTGTGTCTGTTTCCCTACTGCATCAACTTTTTGGTCTTACCTAACCTGAAAGGTTAAAAACAGTATTTCTGTAATTCGCATTCATCTTATTACTATTGGGGCTGACTCATCTTTTTTATAATGTTTGAGACATTTCTCCCTTTCTACAAATGATCTGTTTTCCTTTTGCTCATTTTCCTATTGGGTTATTGGCCTTTCTTATTGATTTGTAAGAGCTATATACAGCTTTATACAGTAGTCCCCCCTCATCCATGGTTTCATTTTCCATGCTTACAGTTAGCCACTGTCAATAGCGGTCTGAAAATAGGTGAGTAAAAAGTAGAATAAGATTTTTTTGGGGGGTGGGGTGGGGAAAGAGCACACATTTACATAACTTTTATTAGAGTTCATTGTTATAATGTTCTATTTTATTAATTAGTGTTGTTAATCTTTTATTGTGCCTAATTTATAAATTAAACTTTATCATAGGTATATATGTATAGGAAAAAACAGTATATAGGGCTTGGTACTATCTGTAGTTTTAGGCATCCACTGGGGTTCTTGGAATGTGTCCTCTCCAGATAAAGGGGGACTACTGTATGTTAAGAAACTAGTCATTTGTGACATGAGTACATTTTTCTATGGCCTGTCAGTCTTTAGACTTTGTTCCCAGTGCTTTTTACTATGCAGAAATTTGTATTCCCCTATACCCTCTCTCCCCACATCAATTTAAAAAACACACTGAATGATATGCGCTTTGTTAGATGCTGGGGTACAGAGGCAGGAAACAGGTAAGAAAAAAATGCACTAATGTTATGAGGTAATCATAGGGAACGACAAGAGTAGACTGGATTCAAATCAAGTAGAAAGGGTGAGTTTTATGAAGGAGGGCTTCTTGGTAGTAGTAACATCTAAACTGAATTTTAAACAATGAGAAAGGAGTTAGGTAAATGAAGTGGGCATACAGGCCCAGGAAGCAGCATAAAGACAAGGAGTCCTGTATAGCTGTAAGCGGTAGTTTTAAAACTAGCCAGGGAGACCTGATTAACTCAATTGTCAGAAGGACAGCATTCACTGTAGATATAACATAGATTTGTTGTTTGATTCATGATACTTTTATTTTTGACAACTTGTAAGACTGCGAAGGGCACTAGATGTTTGGAAGAAGACATGAGTTAATTAGCAATGAGATCCTGGGGGAAAACATTTTAAAACTTCTTTTAGCTTGTTCCAGTGTTCTGCTTCCTATGTGTTAAATGCTTATACAAAAAAAGAAAAGTTTCTGTTTTTAATTTCCCAATGAAGCTCAATTTCGAGAAAACAAATCCAAAGAATTACTACTTTTATAAAGTCAGTTCAGCATACTGGTTAGGAGACAGACTATCAGGCTTTTTACAACTTATTAGTTAAGTGGACAGATTTTGGGTTTAAAATGCAGGCTCTACTGGGTAATTTTGGGCAAGTTATCAAATCTTTCTAGAGCTTTTACCTACAAAATGGTGCTAATCATAGTATCTTCCTCCTAGGGTTATTTTAGAGTATTAAATAAGTTAAGAAATGGAAAGTGCTTGTCAGGTACATAGTAAGCTCTCACTAAGTGTTCACTATCATTTTTACTATTTCTTGAAGAAGCAACTAAAAAGCTAGATCATTAGTGCTTAAACTTCCAATATACTCCATAATAAATATTCTCTCTATAAAAATACTATTAAATTTTTGGAGCCTAAGTTCTGAGGACTGCCAGGGATCAAGTTCTGATTCTACTACTAACTAGCTGTGTGACCCTGGGCAAGTTTCTTAACCTCCTTATACCTCGGTTTCCTTTTCTAAATATTACCTAATAAAGCTGTTATAGAATTAAGTGAGTTTATACATGTACAGACTCAGAAGAATACAAATAGTAAGCACTGAATAAGTCTGGCATTTTATTATTACTAAATATTGACTATCATATGCCCTCAGATTATTAAAACTATACATATTTTTTAGACCTTTGATTAATATTCCCAGATAGCTTTCCTAAAGAGCTAAATTTATACTCACAAAACAATTCATGAGAGTGCAAAGTTTACTCTTAATCGGTACAACTATTTAAAATTCCTGGCTGGCATGGTGATTCATGCCTGTAATACCAGTACTTTAGGAGTCTGAGGTGGAGAAACCTGCCCCTACAAA
This sequence comes from Homo sapiens, assembly GCF_000001405.40. Lineage (NCBI taxonomy): Eukaryota > Metazoa > Chordata > Mammalia > Primates > Hominidae > Homo > Homo sapiens. The sequence goes on along the minus strand of NC_000012.12, from coordinate 69,385,191 downwards.
AAAAAAAAAAATTAGCCAGACATGGTGGCACATACCTGTAGTCCTAGCTACTGTTAGGGGGCCAAGGCAGGAGGATCATGTGAGCCCCCAAGTTTGAGGCTACAGTGAGCTACGATCATGACACTGCAACCCAGCCTGAGTGACAGAGCGAGAACCTGTCTCTAGGGGAAAAAAAAATGCTTTTGCTAATTTAATAGGACAAATATAGTCATTCACTACTGTTTGGTTTGCATTTTTAAAATTATTAGCAGGGCCAGATATTTTATCATTTTATTTACTGGTGATCTCTTATTCTATCTGTCTGTCCATACCTTCTGCCCATTTATCTACTGAGGTTTAACAGGTTTTTCTATTTATCAATTTTAGCATTTAAAAAAACATTAATTCTTTGCCATATTTTCTGCAAACTTTTCTTCTTTGCCTTTTGGAAATGCAGAAATTAAATATACTTAATAAAGTCTATCCTTATTTTAATGTGATTTTTCCTAACACTTTAAATTTGGAAAGTCCTTCCTAGCCAGGATAGCCAGTAATCTAATTTTTCAAAAAACAGGCTGGCTGATTTTCAAAAAAACATTTAAATATCTTTAACTAAACTGGAATTTGTTTTGGTAAGTACTATGAAGTGATGATCAAAATTAAGTTTTCTTCCCAAAAGCTTACCAATTATGCCAACACCATTTATGGAATTAGACTTTTCTTCCTTATTGATTTGGTACTGTTAAGAAAATGAACTAAAGATCACACAGAAAACTTAATTTATTGATAAAAACTTCCCAAGGTTATACAGCTCCATACGTAAGATTTAACACATTGAAACAGATTTATAGCCTTTTCACAAAACATATTATTTATAACTACTTGTTATACATAAATAAATGATAGTTTTGTCAAAAACAGAAAAATGTGAGCACTTGAATTTTAAAAGAGAATTTTCTGCCATGAATGGGCACATTTCATGGTATGAGAGAAAGAAGAGAGTGATCAATAATGAAGCACAGTAGTGCTTTTCACCTTTTCAAAGTGATCATATACTTAACTGTTTTATGTTCATAACATTTTTGCAGATAAAGAAACTAAAGCATACAAATTTTCAATGACTACCTAAGTCACAAAATTATAATTAGTACCCAGATCTTTTAAGTCCTAATCAAGTGTTTTATGAAAATATAAACAAAACACTTCTATAACCACTAATTGTTAAACAGCAATTCCCTCCCCACTTCATTACCATCCCTCTACCTCTTCTTTTATTGCATCACTCCCTTTCAGCCTACAAATATACTAGTTTATTTCCCCCTGAAAACAATACCCTCTTGACCCCGTATCTTGCTTCTGTTACTGCTTCAAAGACTACTGCTCCTCTTTACAGCCAGGCTTCAAGACAGAGTTGCCCACAGTGTCTGTCTCCAATTTATCTTATCTGATGTTCTCTTATCCACTTCAAGTCATCTTCTGACCTTACTGTTCTCCTTACACTGCTCCTGTTAAAGTCATCAAGGAGCTCCATCTTACTCTATCCAATTACTGGGCCCTCATCTTACTTGACCTATCAGCAGTATGAGACACTCTCTAGTTCCTGATACACTTTTTTCACTTGCCTGTGAGGACATTACATGCACCTAGTTTTTCTCCCTCCATATTTGCTGTTTGTTCTTCATTCCCTTTGCTGGTTATCTCCTCAATCTTTAAATTTTGGAGTGCCCAGGTCTCTCAGTCTTTGGACCTCTTTTCTATCTTCACTTACTCCTTTGATGATACCATTTGGTCTCATAATTTATAACTGTATTAACTTTCAAATTTATGTCTCCAGCCTACACTTCTCCTCTCTTTGAATGCCATGGTGCAACATCCTTCTCAACATCTCAACTTACATGTCTTACAGACATCCCACACCCATCATGTCCAAACTTGCACTTTTTTTTTTTGAGACAGAATCTTGTTGTATTGTTCAGTCTGGCGTGCAGTCACATGACAACAGCTCATTAAAGCCTTGCCCTCCTGGGCTCAAGTAATCCCCCAACCTCAGCCTCCTGAGTAGCTGGTACTACAGGAATGTGCCACCACACCCAGAAAATTAAAAAAATTTTTTTTGTAGAGATGGGGTCTCACTACATTGCTCAGGCTAGTCTTGAAGTCCTGGGCTCAGGCAATCCTCCCATGCTAGCCCCTCTAATGTGCTGCGATTATAGGCATGAGCCATCACACCTGGCCGCCAAAGCTGTACTCTGAATTGCAAAAACCTGTTCCTCCAAGACCTCCCACCTGTGTAAAAAGCAATGACTTTTTTGGAGTTCCTCAGGCCCAAAACCATGTAAGTCATCCTTTGCTTTTCTTTCTCCAATACCTCATTATTCAAAACATCAGCAAATCCTCCTGTACCTATTTTCAAATCAGGTCCAAAATCTAATGTCTTCTCCCATTGCTATCACTCTGGTCCAAGCCACCATTCTACCAAATCTGAATTACTGGGACAGCCTCCACACACAGGAAAGAGTAAAGGGGACTTTGTCTTAAGCTTTGGTACCAACTCCCCAATTCCACGCCTTGGCCCTTGGATGGCATCTCTGGACCTACCTAGGCCAAGAGGAGCCCACTGCCCTGAAGGGAAAGTCCCAGGCCTGGCAGTATTCAACACAAGCTGACTGAAGAGCCCTTGGGCCTTAAGTAAATATTTGTGGTACCCTGACAGAACTCCTTGTGGGCCTGTGGTAGTGGTGGACACAGGGAAAGAATCATCTGCCTGGAAAAAGGGGAGGGAAGAATGGGAAGGATGCTGTCTTGTAGCTTGGGTGCCAGCTCAGCCACAGTAAAACAGAGCACCAGGATTATTCCTAAGGTTTCCAACTCCAGGCCCTGGCTCCTGGACAGAATCTCTGGACCTACCCGCAGCCCAGGGAAACTCAGTGCCCTTAAGGGATGGACACAAGCTAATCAAATTAATGATTTAAGACAGTCTGTTATTTGGCTTGGAGATTGGGTGGTGAGTCTCGAACATCGCATGCAAATGCAGTGCAACTGGAATACTTTGGATTTCTGTATCATCCCCTATTCCTATAATGAGACTGATTATTCATGGGAAATGGTCAAAGGACGCCTTCTGGGTAGGGAAGATAATTTATCATTGGACATAACTAAATTAAAGAAACAAATTTTTGAAGCCTCTCAAGCTCACTTATCCATTGTGCCTGGAGCTGAGGCGTTAGATCAGGTGGCAGAAAATCTTTATGGATTAAACCCCACGACTTGGATTAAGTCTATTGGGGGCTCCACTGTAGTAAATTGTGGAATTACATTTCTCTGTTTAATCAGCTTGTTTTTAGTGTGCCGGACCAGTCAAAGAATCCTGGGTAAAAATCAAGAGAATGAACAAGCCTTCATCACCATGGCACATTTATATAAAAAGAAAGGGAGAGATGTTGCGGGAAGTCAGGAACCCCGAACGGAGGGAACGGCTGAAGCCATGGCAGAAGAACATAAATTGTGAAGATTTCATGGACATCTATTAGTTCCCCAAATTAATACTTTTATAATTTCTTACGCCTGTCTTTACTACAATCTCTGAACATAAATTGTGAAGATTTCATGGACACTTATCACTTCCCCAATCAATACCCTTGTGATTTCCTATGCCTGTCTTTACTTTAATCTCTTAATCCCGTCATCTTTGTAAGCTGAGGAGGATGTATGTCACCTCAGGACCCTGTGATGATTGCGTTAACTGCACAAATTGTTTGTAGAGCATGTGTGTTTGAACAATATGAAATCTGGGCACCTTGAAAAAAGAACAGGATAACAGCAATTGGTTCAAGGAACAAGAGAGATAACCTTAAACTCTGACTGCCGGTGAGCCAGGCAGAACAGAGCCATATTTCTCTTCTTTCAAAAGCAAATGACAGAAATATCGCTGAATTCTTTTTCTCAGCAAGGAACATCCCTGAGAAAGAGAATGTGTCCCTGAGGGTAAGCCTCTGAAATGGCTGCTTCAGGGGCGGCTGTCTTTTACGGTCGCAGCTGTAGGGATGAAATTAGCCCCAGTCTCCCGTAGCACTCCCAGGCTTATTAGGACTAGGAAATTCCTGCCTAATAAATTTCGGTCAGACCGGTTGCCTGCTCTCAAACCCTGTCTCCTGATAAGATGTTATCAATGACAATATGTGCCCAAAACTTCATTAGCAATTTTAGTTTTGCCCCGGTCCTGTGATCTCACCCTGCCTCCATTTGCCTTGTGATATCTTATTACCTTGTGAAGCATGTGATCTCTGTGACCCAGACCCTATTCATACACTCCCTCCCCTTTTGAAAATCACTAATAAAAACTTGCTGGTTTTGTGGCTTGTGGGGCATCATGGAACCTGCCGACATGTGATGTCTCCCCTGGACACCCAGCTTTAAAATTTCTCTCTTTTGTACTCTGTCCCTTTATTTCTCAGACTGGCCGGCACTTAGGGAAAATAGGAAAGAACCTACGTGAAATATTGGGGGTGAATTTCACCCGATATCTGGCTGAATTTCCCCTGATACTGGCTGACTTCATCACCTGCTGATTATAGAGCCTTAGGGCCTCACACAAACATAGGTGGCAGCCAGGCAGCGGTTACAGTGGGCCTTGGGCAAGACCCAGTAATGTGCTGGCTTCAAGTCTGACCTAAGGCAGTCCCAGTGGTGGTGGCTAAAGGGGTGCTTGTGTCATCCCTCCTCAGGTCTAGGCAGTTCAGCACAGAAACAGAAACTCCGTTTGTTTGGGAGAAAGTAAGGGACGAGAACAAGAGTCTCTGCCTGCTAATCCAGAGGATTCTTCTGGATCTTATCCAAGACCACCAAAGTCGTACCCTACAAATCTGCAAGAACCACAGCATTACTGGGCCTTGGGGTATCCCCTAATGCAGATATGGCTGCAGTGACCAAAAATTTAGATCACAACACCTAAGTTCCTTCAAATACCTGGAAAGCCTGCCCAAGGACAGGTACAACAAACCTAGATTACAAAGACTACAATAAAAACCTAACTCTGCAATGCCCAGACATTGATGAATATCAACAAGTATCAAGACCATCCAGGAAAACATGACCTCACCAAACGAGCTAAATAAGGCATCAGTGACCAATCTCTAACAGAGATATGTGACCTTTCAGAAAGATAACTCAAAATAGCTGTTTTGAGGAAACTCAAAAGAAATTCAAGATAACACAGATAAAGAATTTAGAATCCTATCACATAAATTTAATAAATAAATGGAAATTAAAAGAATCGAGCAGAAATGCTGGAGTTGAAAACACCACTGACATATGGAAGAATGCATCAGTCACTTAATAGCAGAACTGATCAAGCAGAACAAAGAATTAGTGGGCTTGAAGAGAGGCTATTTGCAAATTCACAGTGAGAGGAGACAAGAGAAAATGAAGCACATCTACAAGTTCTAGAAAATAACCTAGAAAAGGGGAAATCCAGGCCAGGTGCAGCAGCTCACACCTATGATCCCAGCACTTTGGGAGGCCAAGGAGGGAGGACTGCTTGAGCCCAGGAGTTCGAGACTAGCCTGGGCAACATGGCAAAACCCCATCTCCACCAAAAAAAAAAAAAAAAAAAAAAAAAAAAAAAAAAAAATTAGCTGGGCATAGTGGTGGCATGTGCCTGTGGGTCCCAGCTACTCAGGAGGCTGAGGTGAGAGGATTGCTTGAACCCGGAAGGTGGAGGTTGCAGTGAGCCAAGATCATGCCACTGCACTCCAGCCTGGGTGACAAAGTCAGGACCTGTCTCAAAATAAAAAGGCAGGGTAGGGGTAGAATCTAAGAGTTATTGACCTTAATTAAAGAGGAGATAGAGAGAGAGAGGAGTAGAAAGTTTATTCAAAGGGATAATAATAGAGAACTTCCCAAATTCAGGGAAAAATATCAATATTCAAGTACAAGAAGGTTATAGAACACCAAGGAGATTTAACACACAGAAGACTACCTCAAGGCAGTTTATAATCAAACTCATAAATCTCAAGGATAAAGAAAGGATCCTAAAAACAACAAGAGGAAATAAACACAAAAACAAGTAACATACAATGGAGCTCTAATACATCTGGTAGTGGACTTTTCAGTGGAAACTTTATAGGCCAGTAGAAAGTGGCATGACATTTAAAGTGCTGAAGGAAAAAAAGCCTTTTGTCCTAGAATAGTACATCTGGTGAAAATAGCCTTCGAACATGGAGAAATGCTTTCCCAAACAAAAGCTGAGAGATTTCATCAACACCAGAGCTGCCCTACAAGAAATGCTGAAGTTCTTCAATCTGAAAGAAAAGCATGTTAATAAGTAATGTGAAATCATCTGAAGATACAAAACTCACTGGCAAGTAAACAGAAAAACAAAGAATATTATTACATTGTAATTGCAGTTTGTAAACTACACAAGTCTTAGGTAGAAATATGAAAAGATGAACCGATCAAAAATAATAACTACAATTTTTCAAGACATAGATAGCAATAAGATATAAATAGAAACAACAAAAAGTTAAAAGTGGGGAGATGAAGTTAAAATATAAAGTGTTTATTGCTTTCTTTTTGCTTGCTTGTTTATGCAATCAGTGTTAAGCTGTCATCAGTTTAAAACAACGGGTTATAGGATATTATTTGCAAGCTTCATGGTAAGCTCAAACCTAGAAACATAAAAGAGAAACACAAAAATAAAAAGAAATTAAAATATACCACCAGAAAAAATCACCTTCACTAAAAGGAAAACAGGAAGGAAGGAAAGAAGAAAGAGAAGACCATCAAACAATCAGAAAAATAAAATGGTGGAAGTCCTTACTTATCAATACTAATGAATGTAAATATCAATATCAGTGAATGTAAATGGACTAAAGTCTCCAATCAAAAGACACAGAGTGGCTGAATGGATGAAAAAACAAGACCCAGTGATGTACTGCCTCCAGGAAACACACTTCACCTATAAAGACACACGTAGACTGAAAATAAAGGGATGGAAAAAGATATTGCATGCAAATGAAAAAAAAAGATATTGCATGCAAAATCAAAAAAGAGCAGGAGTAGCAATACTGACATCAGACAAACAGATTGCACAACAAAAACTATAAAAAGAGACAGGGTCATTATATAATAATAAAGGAGTCAATTCAGCAAGAGGATATAACAATTGTAAACATATATGCACCCAACAGTGGAGCAGTCAGATACATAAAGCAAATATTATTAGAGTTTAAGAGAGATAGACCCCAATACAACAATACCTGGCATCGCCAACATCCAACTTTCAGCACTGAACAGATCATCCAGACAGAAAATCAACAAAAAAATACCATTGGACTTAATCTGCAAAATAGGCCAAATGGACCTAATAGGTATTTACAGAACATTTCATCAAATGGCTACAGAATACACATTCTTCTCCTGACCTCATGGATCATTCTCAAGGATAAAGACCATATGTTAGGCCACAAAACAAGTCATAAAACATTTTTTTTTAAAAAAGCAAGTAATGTGAAGTATCTTCTCTGACTACAATGGAATAAAATTAGAAATCAATAACAAGAGGAATTCTGGAAACTATACAAACACATGGAATTTAAACAATATGCTTCTGAATGACCAGTGGGTCAATGAAGAGATTAAGAATTGAAAAATTGGGTCAGGTGCAGAGGCTCACACCTATAATCCCAGCACTTTGGGAGGCTGAGGTGGGAGGATCGCTTGAGGACAAGAGTTCAAGACCAGCCTGGTAAACACAGCGAGATCCCCAGCTCCAAAAAAGTTAGAAAGAAAGAAAGGAGGGAAGGAGGAAAGGAAGGAAGGAAGGACAGATGGAAACTGAAAAATTTATTGAAACAGATAATGGAAACAACACAGCAAAAGCAGTACTCAGAGGGAAATGTGTAGCTTTAAATGTCTGTAGCCAAATAGAGGAAAAACTTCAAATAAAATATCTAACGATGTATTGTAAAAAATGAGAAAAGCAAGAGCAAACCAAACCCAAAGTTAGTAGAGGAAAAAAGATCAGAGTAAAAATAAATAAAATTGAAATGAAGAAAAAATACAAGCTCAATGAAACAAGAAGTTGGTTTTCTGAAAAGATAAACAAAACTGACAAATTTTTAGCCAGATTAAGAAAAAAGAGAAAACTCAAAGGATGAAAAAGGAGACATTAAAACTGACAGTGCAGAAATTCAAAGGATCATTAGTGGCCACTATGAGCAATTATATGCCAATAAATTAGAAAATCTAGAAGAAATGGATAAATTCCTAGACACATACAACCTACCAAGATTGAATCATGAAGAAATCCAAAACCTGAACAGACCAGTAACAAGCAACAAGATTGAAGCTGTAGTAAAAAGTCTCCCAGCAAAGAAAAGCCCAGGACCCAATGGCTTCACTGTTGAATTTTACCAAACATTTGAAGAAGAACTAATACCAACCCTACTCAAACTATTCCAAAAAATTGAGAAAATAATACTTCCAAACTCATTCTATGAGGCCAGTATTACCTAGACACCAAAACCAAAGGTACATCAAAAAAAGAAAACCACAGGCCAATATCCCTGATGAACACTGATGCAAAAATCCATAACAAAACACTAGCAAAAAGAATTCAACAACACCTTAAAAAGATCATTCATCGTGACCAAGCGGGATTTATCCCAGGGATGTAAGAATCGCTCAACATGAGCAAATCAATGTGATACCTCATATCGACAGAATGATGGACAAAAACCATATGATCATTTCAATTGATGCTGAAAAAGGATCTGATAAAATTCAGCAGAAGTCAAATTAGCCTTGTTTGTAGATGATATTATCATTATTTATTTATTTATTTATTCTGAGAGAGAGTCTCACTCTGTTGCCTAGGCTGGAGTGCAGTGACACAATCTCGGCTCATTGCAACCTCCGCCTCCCAGGTTCAAGCAATTCTCCTGCCTCTGCCACACGAGTAGCTGGGATTACAGGCACATGCCACCATGCTCGGTTAATTTTTATAGTTTTAGCAGAGAAGGGTTTCGCCATGTTGGCCAGGCTGGTCTTGAACTCCTGACCTCAGGTGATCCATCTGCCTTGGCCTCCCAAAGTGCTGGGATTACAGGCGTGAGCCACCACACCCAGCCTGTAGATGATATTATATTTGGAAAAACCTAAAGACTCCACCAAAAAAGCTATTAAGAGTTGATAAACAAATTCAGTAAAACTGCAGGATACAAAATCAACATACAAAAAAATCAGTAGCATCTCTGTATGCCAACAGTGAACAATCTGAAAATGAAATCAAGAAAGAAGTCTCCCCCTCCCCCTCCCTCTCTGCGCGGTCTCCCTCTGATGCCGAGCCCAGGCTGGACTGTACTGCCGCCATCTCGGCTCACTGCAACCTCCCTGCCTGATTCTCCTGCCTCAGCCTGCCGAGTGCCTGGGATTGCAGGCGCGCACCACCACGCCTCACCAGTTTTTGTATTTTTTGGTGGAGACGGGGTTTCGCCGTGTTGGCTGGGCTGGTCTCCAGCTCCTGACCGCGAGTGATCTGCCAGCCTTGGCCTCCCGAGGTGCCGGGATTGCAGACGGAGTCTCGCTCACTCAGTGCTCAATGTTGCCCAGGCTGGAGTGCAGTGGCGTGATCTCTGCTCGCTACAACCTCCATCTCCCAGCCGCCTGCCTTGGCCTCCCAAAGTGCCGAGATTACAGCCTCTGCCCGGCCGCCACCCCGTCTAGGAAGTGAGGAGCGTCTCTGCCTGGCCGCCCATCGTCTGGGATGTGAGGAGCCCCTCTGCCCAGCCGCCCAGTCTGGGAAGTGAGGAGCGCCTCTTCCCGGCCGTCATCCCGTCTAGGAAGTGAGGAGCGTCTCTGTCCGGCCGCCCATCCTCTGGGATGTGGGGAGCGCCTCTGCCCCGCCGCCCCATCTGAGATGTGAAGAGCGCCTCTGCCCGGCCGCGACCCCATCTGGAAACTGAGGAGTGTCTCTGCCCCGCCGCCACCCCGTCTGGGAGGTGAGGAGCGTCTCTGACCGGCCGCCCCGTCTGAGAAGTGAGGAGCCCCTACGCCCGGCAGCCTCCCCGTCTGGGAAGTGAGGAGCCCCTCCGCCCAGCAGCCACCCCGTCAGGGAAGTGAGGAGCGTCTCCGCCCGGCAGCCGCCCCCTCCGGGAGGTGGGGGGCAGCCCCCGCCCGGCCAGCTGCCCCGTCCGGGAGGTGGGGGCAGCCCCCGCCCGGCCGCCGCCCTGTCTGGGAGGTGGGGGGCGCCCCTGCCCGGCCACCCTGTCTGGGAAGTGAGGAGCCCCTCTGCCCGGCCGCCACCCCGTCTGGGAGGTGTACCTAACAGCTCATTGAGAACGGGCCATGATGACGATGGCGGTTTTGTCGAATAGAAAAGGGGGAAATGTGGGGAAAAGAAAGAGAGATCAGATTGTTACTGTGTCTGTGTAGAAAGAAGTAGACATAGGAGACTCCATTTTGTTGTGTACTAAGAAAAATTCTTCTGCCTTGGGATGCTGTTAATCCATAACCTTACCCCCAACCCCGTGCTCTCTGAAACATGTGTAAGGGTTAAATGGATTAAGGGCGGCGCAAGATGTGCTTTGTTAAACAGATGCTTGAAGGCAGCATACTCCCTAATCTCAAGTACCCAGGGACACAAACACTGCGGGAAGGCAGCAGGGCCCTCTGCCTAGGAAAACCAGAGACCTTTGTTCACATGTTTATCTGCTGACCTTCCCTCCACTATTGTCCTATGATCCTGCCAAATCCCCCTCTCCGAGAAACACCCAAGAATGATCAATAAATACTAAAAAATTAAATAAAAAAAAAGAAAGTAATCTCATTTACCACAGCTACAAATTAAATAACTAGGAATTAACCAAAGAAGTGAAAGATATGTACAATGAGAAATATAAAACAGTAATGAAAGAAACGGAAGAGAACACACAGAAAAGGAAAGATATTCCATGTTCATGAACTGGAAAATCAATATTGTTAAAATGCCCATACTTCCCAAAGCAATCTACAGATTCACTGCAATCCCTATCAAAATACAAATGACATTCTTCACAGAAATAGAAAAAAAAAAACAAAACCTAAAATTTTATGTGGAACCACAAAAGATCCAGAATAGCCTAAGTTATCCTCCGCAAAAAGAACAAAACTGGAGGAATCACCTGACTTCAAATTATACTACAGAGCTATAGTAACCACAACAGCATGGTACTTGCAGAAAAAGAGACACATAAACCAACGGAACAGACTAGAGAACCCAGAAACAAATCCACACACTTACAGGGAACTCATTTTTGACAAAGGTGCCAAGAATATATACTTGAGGAAAAAAATGGTCTCTTCAATAAATAGTGCCAGGAAATCTGGATATCTATATGCAGAAGAATGAAACTAGACTCCTATCTCTCGCCATATACAAAAATCAAATTAAAATGGATTAAAGACTTAAATCTAAGATCTCAAACTATTAAACTACTAAAAGAAAACATTGGGGAAACTCTCTAGGACACTGGACTGGACAAAGATTTCTTGTGTAATACCCTATAAACACAGGCAACCAAGGCAAAAATGGATTAACGGGATCACATCAAGTTAAAAAACTTCTGTACCACAAAGGAAACAACAAAGTGAAGAGACAACACACAGAATGGAAGAAAATATCTGCAAACTACCCATCTGTCAAAGAATTAATAATCAGAATATATAAGGAGCTCGAACAACTCCTTAAGAATCTGATTTTAAAACGGGCAAAAGATCTGAATAGACATTTATCAAAAGATGACATACAAATGGCAAACAGGTATACGAAAAGGTGCTCAACATCACTGATCATCAGAAAAATGCAAATTAAAACTACAATGAGATGTCATCTCATGCCTGTTAAAATGGCTGTTATCGAAAAGACAGGCAATAACAAATGCAGGCGAGGATGCAGAGAAAAGGGAACCCTTATATACTGTTGGTGGGAATGTAAATTAGTAAAACCACTATGGCCAACAGTTTGGAGATTCCTCAAAAAACAAAAAATAGAGCTATATGATCCAGCAATCCCACTGCTAGGTATATATCCAAAAGAAAATAAGTCAGTATATCAAAAAGATATCTGCACTTCCATGTTTATGTTATTGCAGTACTATTCACAATAGCCAAGATTTGAAAGCAACCCAAGTGTCCATCAACAGATGAATGGATAAAGAAAATATGGTACATATACACAAGAGAGTACTATTCAGCCATAAAAAAGGAATGAAATCCTGTCATTCCAAACAACATGGATGGAACTTAAGGTCATTATATTAAGTGAAGTAAGCCAGGCACAGAAAGATAAAACATTATATATTCTCACTTATTTGTGGGAGCTAAAAATTAAAACAACTAGGCTGGGTGTGGTGGCTCATGCCTATAATCCTAGCACTTTGGGAGGCCAAGGTGGGTGGATTAACTGAGGTCAGGAGTTCGAGACCAGCTTGGCCAACATGGTGAAACCCTGTCTCTACTAAAAATATAAAAAAAATTAGCCAGGTGTGGTGGTACACACCTGTAATCCCAGCTACTAGGGAGGCTGAGGGAGGAGAATCACTTGAGCCTGGGAGACAGAGGTTGCAGTGAGCCGAGATCATGCCACTGCCCTCCAGCCAGGCCAACAGAGCAAGGCTCTGTCTCAAAAAAAAAAAAAAACTCATGAGATACAGAAAACAGAGTAGAATGACGGTTACCAGAGGGTAGGAAGGGTAGTGGGTAGGTGGGTAAAGGATGGTTATTGGTACAAAAAATAGAAAGAATGAATAAATTAAGCATTTGATAGCACAACAGGGTGACTATAGTCAATAATAATGTAATTGTACATTTAAAAATAACTAAAAGAGTATATTTGGATTATTTGTAACAAAAAGGGTAAATGCTTGAGGTGATCGATATCTCATTTCCTGGATGTAATTTTTAGACATTGTATGCCTGTATCAAAATATCCCATGTACCCAGTAAATATATATACCTACAATATACCCACAAAATTAAACATTTTAAAGAAGTTAAATCTGATGTCATTCCTTTGCTCAAAACTCACAAATGACTTCATATCTCAGTTTAATAATCTGAAGCCCTCATAGTTACCCACAAGTCCCTATATGACCTAGTCCCCTATTAACTTCTCTGATCTCATCTCCCACTCCTCGTCCTCTTGTTCACTCTACTCTAGTCACACTGGACTTCTTGCTGTTTTTCAGCCATGTACTTACCTGAGGGCCTTTGTCCTCACTGCTCCCTCTACATATAATATCCTTCCCTTAGATCACTCCTTTACCCCTTTAGGTCTCCAAATGCTCAGAAAGCATTTCCTGACTGACATTTTGATATCAGTATCTAAAACTCCAACCATCTCGTCCCACCAAAGATGCTCCCTGCCCCACTTTGTTTGTCTCTATAGCACTTAATCACTACCTTATACTTCCTTGTTCTGTTTATTTAATACCTGTTTTCCTCCCACTAGAATGTAGGACCCATGACGATAGGGCTTTTTGTCTGATTCAGGCACTGCTCTAACCTCAGCAGCTAGCACCTAGAACAATGGTTGGCATTAACTGGTACTCACTATATATTGTAATGAATGAATAATCAAAGAAATGACTGAACAGTAACATCAGTGTTAACACAGGGATGTCAAATAGATTTCATATTAAATGCCAATTGCAAATGACTGAGAATAGATGCACAGATTAATGCGTACAGAATTCTGAGACCATGTCAGCTTAGAGAGAAAATACAACATGACCGATTATCAATGTGGCATTCAGGTAGTCAACACTTGAGCATTAATCTGAAACTATGTAAAATGACATCAGCAAAAATATAAGATAAACTAGTTCACAGTATATAAAAGTATAATTATGGTTTGCAAGGTTCTTCACACAGATTTTGTTAGCAAAGACTAGTAAACAGAAAATGATAGGCTAAGCAAGACTAATAAAAAACTATACTTAAATGTAATTAGGGAATAAAACAGACAAACAGTACTTCAGCGAATGTAAGAGGCTGTCTTTCACCCTTCTTGAAAGCAGGCCTACTTGGGAACAATTTAAAACATCCTTTTTACATGTTCCACTGTAATACAAACTGTGTTTTTTAACACCTAAAAAACTTACCTATTTCATTTTTTTAAAGTGTAAAAGGCACGAATCATACAACCCTTTCACTATTACAGAATACGTTATTTTTCAGAATTATGAATGCATGGCACTTACATTCTGTTTCATGCTTATAGGCTCCTAATGTTAGCTGACGAGATGTTGTCAATAATTGTTGCATCATTGCTGTTGGGTCTTGAAATATCTAATGGGATAAAATGAACAAAAACCCAATAACTTCAAAGTTCTCCAACTTCAAATGCTTTTAAAACTATCATTATAAAATCTTCTTACCATTTCATCATAGAACTCTGAAACCACTGTCTTTTTCCCCAGCATTGCATTGGTGTCTGATTGAAACAGCTTTAGCAAATGATACAGGGTTACCTGTGAAATAGAAACAGATGTCAAATCTGTGCAATGGTTTTTATCATCATAAGATACTGGCATTTTTTTAACTGAAATAGAGACTGGAATAAGTATATACATGTCAAATTCATGATCTTGTTTCAACTGCAACTTATTGCAGCAAATCACCCAAATTTTCTGTACCTTTATTTTCCTATTAGATCCATTCATATCTACCTAACATGAATACTCTTTAGAGGGTAATTAAGAATCTGTTCAAGAATCTCTAGAGAGGAAACTAAAAATAACACAAGATAAAGCTATAGAAATTAAACTGAGAAATCACTAAAACATGAATTCTTTTACTTACACAAGTGGATTAATTGTGACTGCTTTGAAGATTAGAGTTTACAAATTTACTGTGGGGAATGAAAAAGTTCAGTGAGGGCAAGATAATTTCTTTGGGGATCTATAAGATTATTACATAAATGACATAATAAATAAATAAAAAGTTGGTCAGTAATAATTCACTTTGGCAAGAGCAACATGTCTTCAAATACCTAAAAACAGGTATAGTAAGACATCAAAGGAAAAGCTTTGTAGCACAATGTGTGATTATTTCAGCAAAATAAAATCTAGTTCGGAAAACATCAGACTTCATGTTGAAGTTCTGAAAACCAGACCCCAAATAATTTTCTAAAAAGTTAGCTAGCATAATTGTAAGAGAATGGTACTCTTCAAAAAAGTCATGAAATAGGGAGCAAGGAAGGGTACACTGAAAAAGTCAGAAAATATAAAATTCCTTGCAACTGAATTTAAACAAGCACCATCAACTCCCCCTAAAGACAATCTAGCTCAATTAACAGAATGTCAGATTTCCCTGGACATGGCTCAGCAAGTGGAAATATCCTACTTAAAGGACATCTTCCAGGCTCAAGATGATGCACTAAGAATGTAGAAAGGGGAGGAGGGAAATGCACAGAATTCTACTAAAATAACAGCAAAATAAGAGAGCATGAATTACATATCAAATTATTTAAAGCAAATAATTTAACAAATTTCTGGAACAGACAGAAAGCAGATGAGTCTACCAAGAAGGATAATAAACAATGACACCAGAGAAAAACCACAACCTGAAAACTTAAGAAAACTGCCTAAGAGGTGTGAGCCAGAGCTCCCAGGAGCCCTACAGTGCTCCAAGCTCAGAACTGGCAAGTATCAAAGTCAAGAATGCTATGGGGTAGCTAGGCCTCTTGACTTTCTCTTCTCTCTCCATTCATAGACAAGAAAGCATATCTACCTTTAGTGCCTAGAATTTTTCTCCCCAACAATGAACTATGAAGAAAAAATAAGGACATTTCAGATGGGCAATATCTCTGAAAGTTTATTTCTCAGGCATCCTTTCTGAAAAAATTCCTTTGGCAAAATGAAAAAAAGAAACTTGGAAAGAGGACGAAAAAGGATCACCTATAATCAATCATTAGGCACTGAAAGATACTATCTGAAGCTGAGAAATCCAGTATTAGGGATTTAAATATATGAGATGCACAGGAGTGAGTAATTTCTAGAGGAATTGAGAACAGGTAACTGTTAAAAAGCAGTTTTCTTGGAAAAGAGGTCAAAGATGGGATAAAGATGTTATGGGCTGAATTGTGACCTCCCTGCAAAAGGTATATTTTGTTTGAGATGGGGTTTTACTATGTTGCCCAGGCTGGTCTTGAATTCCTGATCTCAAATGATACTCCTGCCTCAGCCTCCCAAGTAACTGGGACTATAAATGCAGGCAAAAGATACGAAGCCCTAATTCTCAGCACCTGTGGATGTGACATTATTTGGAAACAGGGTCTTTGCAGGTGTAATTACAATGAAGTCATTAGGGTGGACCACAATCCAATATGACTGGTGTCCTTCTAAGAGAAGAAGACACAGAGACCAGGGAGAAAGATAAGGCCATGTGACAATGGAGGAAGATATTAGAGATATGTTGCCAAAAGCCAAGGAACATCTGGGGCTGGAAGAGGCAAGGAAAGATGCTCCCCTAAAGGCTTTGGAAAAAACATGGCCAACACCTTGATTTCAGACTTCTAGCCTTCAGATCTGTGGGAATAAATTTCTGTTGTTTTAATCCACCCAGTTTATGGTACCAGAAAACTAACACAGAAGACTTACACTTATTTCAAAAATCTTCTCTTAAAACCATGTGCACAACTGACTTTTACAATTAAGAAATTCTTACAATTACATTGTAAAACTGTCCTTCCCTAAATTTATTATTCAGACTTCCAGAGGCATTCATGCGGATATAGGCAATAAAAACATTTCAAGACAGATGTCTGTAATTTTGAGTGGTGTTTGAAAATTCTTAGAACAATGAAACTGCCTATACTTGCCTAGAAATCCCTATTTCTAGGAATGAAAACTCAATTTGACATTTTGCTTTTAGAAACAACCATTCTTTTTATAGTGGCTTGATCTGTATAATAGGTTACTGGGTAGCAGAAGTAAATCACAAGTTGTCTTCCAACCAACTTGTCTTTCTTAGATATTTTAAATAAACCTTCACTGGACATTTTCTGTAAGAGCTAACTATTGAAAAAGTACAATAGTTTAATAATACTAAAAAACCCTATAATATTTTTTAGAGAATAAAATTCAGGCCTATGTAAATCTATATGGGAATCTATTAAACAGATTAATCACTATAGCAGTGCAATAGGTTATATACCTTTCTAAGAGTGACTTCAAGAGCTGTCTCATAATGAGGTTACAGGGTACAATGATTTCTTTCATAGATTTATTTTCCAACTGGGGATAAGGGGTAACAGATGAGGAGACAGGGAGGTAAGGCAGCATATTCTCAAAATAAAAATGAAAACCCAGCAATCTTACAAAGTTAAAAAGAGCTTCTACTCTAGTAACATATGAGCTGCTTCTCTCTCCCTCTCAACATCTGCTAAATTCTATGCTCTCTTTTCCCTAATAAACTATTCTCATTAAGGTCAGTGTCTCATTTTTGTATCCTTCTCAATCCCTTAAACAATATCTTACAAATAGCAGATATAATATTTAATAATTTCTTGACCGGTCATGGTGGCTCATGCCTGTAATCCCAGCACCTTGGGAGGGCAAGGCGAGAGGAATGCTTGAGCCCAGGAGTTTGAGATCAGCCTGGGCAACATGGCGAGCCCCTATCTCTACAGAAAATAAAAAATTAACTCAGCATGGTGGCATGCATCTGTGGTCCCATCTACTGGGGAGGCTGAGGCAGAGGACTGTTTGAGGCCAGGAGGTGGAGGCTGCAGTGAGTTGTGTTTATGCCACTGTACTCCAGCCTGGGCAGCAGAGTGTAACTCTGTCTCAAAAGAAAAAAAAAATTATTGCCAAACAAAATATAACATGAGTGTGTTTTCCTGAAGGGCAACACAGATGGTAGGAGATCTAAAAACTTCATCACATGAAAACACAAAAAATGTTTAAATGAGCTATGGATGCTTACTCATGAGAAAAGAAAACTAAGGTAGGAATAGTAATCAGTAAAAAGTTCAGGGAAGCGTAACGAAGTACAGCTTTCTTAAAACTAAAACTACCCCAACCTTGAATAGGATGTTTTACTTAGTGACATAAGTTAATTCTCCATATTGGAGATATGCAAGCCCAAACTAGATTCTCATTTGAGATATTGCCTAAATAAATTCCTACGTAGGAAGAAAAGAGTAAGTCTACGTCATTGGGTCCCAATTCTCATTGTGCATCAAAATCACCTGGGGTGCTGGCCCCATTCCAAACCTACTGAATCAGACTCTCCAAAAGGTGAGGCCTAGGAGCTTGAATTTTTAAAAAGCACCTCACAAAAATTAATAAATAAATAAGCAAGCACCTCAGGTGTTTCTGATGCAGCCAGTTAGGAACCGGTTTGCTGAAATACTGGTCCAGGTGATATTCAGCTCCTTTAAAAATACATACACAGTTTAAAAAATATAATCTGATAATTAAAATGTAAATGTTTGGTGCTAAAAGACTGATGTGATTCTAACAAGATAAAATGGTGATGAATGTGAAAGCCTTGAAACTGGAGTTAAACCCCAGCCACATATGTGGAATGTGAGAGCCATTACTGAGTTTTGACCCTACAGGCTTAAGAAAAAAAAAGGCCTAGTGGTTTTACTCAAAAGAAAAAATACTAGAAAAAGGTATGAATGCAAATATCTGGGTTCAAAAACTAGCTCTACCATAATTAACTGAGTGTTTTTGAGCAGTGACTTGACCTCTGAGCCTTGGTATCCTGATCTCTAAAATGAGGGTATCACAACCTAACAAAGTTGCTGAAGGATCAAAGCAAAAGCCTGGAGGGATTTTTTTTTTACATTATCAAGCAACAATCTGATAAGAAGAGATCAAAAGATGAAAAAGCCAGTGGCTATAAAAATAAAGACTCATAAATAAGATATAAAATGAAGCGCTAGTACTGATGACAGCTTAAAAAAGCAAAAACACTGTTTCTTAGGGTTTAACTACCAAAAACTATAAAAACTATTTTACACAGCATATGGGCTCAACTTATTTATTACTAATAACCGAATGATAATAATAGTTTTAAGTTTTTTTGCTGCAGTAGTCATCTGATTTCCATGGTTTCTTTCCAATACATGTTCATATTATATGTTTTTTTCCATACTTGAAAAAAAAAAGGATTTTGAAAGGCGCTACATTTAAAAATGAAAAACTTAACTCATGGCAAGATACACTGTGCCATAAATTTACATAAAACACATCTGAATGAACACTATTCATTAAGTATTATTACATGTTCACATTTACTAAGAAATCTATTTTATATTTACAAAGATTAATGCTACTCACAGGTCTTTCATTAGGGTCAATGAAAAATATTTTGATGATTATTTCGAATTCACCCCATCCTGTTTCAGTAATTTCATATGGAGGTTTAGTAACAACTAAAGACAGAAAAAAAATAGTAAATTATCGGTTTAGTTTCCTAGCCATTTTTAACTTTGGATATTGTGAATCAAAAGACTATATTGTACCTCTTAAAGGATTGCCATAGCTTTCATGTAATTTAAACTGGATTTTCTTCACATATGCTGACATATCCTAAAATATAAGGAATTAGTTAGTTTTATGATCTACAAATGAAAACTAGGAAAAAAAATACACTGAGCGTATATACTTAGTTTTATAAAAAACATACTTCCCTTCAAATTTTATGGAATCTAATTTTCTAAAAAACATGAACTACACCTGGGAAGTTATTTTGCTTTTTTTTTTTTTTTCCTGAGATGGAGTCTCGCTTTGTTGCCCAGGCTGGAGTGCAGTGGCATGATCTTGGCTCACTGCAACTTCCCTGACCCAGGTTCAAGCAATTCTCCTGCCTCAGCCTCCTGAGTAGCTGGGATTACAGGCGGCTGCCACCATGCCTGGCTAATTTTTTGTATTTTTAGTAGAGACGGGGTTTCACCATGTTGGCCAGGCTGGTCTCGAACTCTTGACCTCAGGTGATCCACCTGCCTCGCCCTACCAGTGTGCTGGAATTACAGGCGTGAGCCACCGCACCTGGCCTATTTTGCTTTTTTTAAAAAAACAAAAAGGAAGCCTGTGTTGAATTCTTTTATGATTTGTAATGTATAGAAATACACGTCCCAAATTAACTTTTTTTTTGGCAAATCTTGTTTTAATACACCTCTATAGATAATATTCTAAATCAATTTTGATTTTTTTCCATTAAAACAACAGTACATATCTGGTACTATTACAGAAATATAAGGCAAATCTATAGTCAATTTCAAAGAACAAAATTATATCACATACGCCGGGCACGGTGGCTCACGCCTGTAATCCCAGCACTTTGGGAGGCCAAGGCAGGTGGATCACCTGAGGTCAGGAGTTTGAGACCAGCCTGGCCAACATGGGGAAACTCCATCTCTACTAAAAATACAAAAAATTAGCCAAGCATGGTGGCGGCGCCTGTAATCCCAGCTACTCAGGAGGCTGAGGCAGGAGAATCACTTAAACCCAGGAGGCGGAGGTTGCAATAAGCTGAGATCACACCATTGCATTCCAGCCAGGGCAATAAGAGAGAAACTCCATCTCAAACAAACAAAAAATTATATTACATAAAGCTAAGGACAACTAATTTAAAGCAATCTAAGATTGTTGAATACAAAAACTCCTCATTTTCTTTATTTTAAAAGTACAGAAGCATATTCATTAGTTATGGCAAATAAAAGGGTTTCTGTTGGCAAAAGTGGCTTTTAAAATATATAATTCATTATAGAAGAATAAAAAAATGCAAAGCAATAAGTCACATTCAATAGTAATGTTTATTAACTTTTTAATTTACTTTTAGGAATTTTTAAATTACTTATATCTACATTCATATCTAACTTTATTATTTAAAAAATAAACTGGAATCTTACTATAATGATACCTTTTTTTTCTGTAGAGATGGAGTCTTACTATGTTGCCAGTCTGGTCTCAAACTCCTGGGCTCAAGCGATCCTCCCGCTTGGGCCTCCCATAGTGCTGAGATTACAGGAATGAGCCATTTTGCCTAGCCAATGGTTTTTAGTTATATTCACAGAGTCTCATAAGAATCACTACAATTTTAGAACATTTTTATCACACAAAAGAAAGCCATATCCATTAGCACTTACCTCAATACCCTTTCTCCCCCACCCACTAGCAACCACTTATCTATTTTCTTTGTCTATGGATTTGCCCCTTCTGGACATTTCATATAAATAAAAGCATATAATATTTGGCCTTTTTTATATTTGGCTTCTTTTACTTAGCATAATGCTTTCAAGTTTCATCCATGTAGTAGCATCTTTACTTTATCAGTACTTTACTTTTTATTGCTTGATAATATTCAATTGTATGGATATATCACATTTTATTTATCCATTCATCAGTTGATAGACAAATGAATTGTTTCCACTTTTTGGCTATTATGAATAACACTGGTATCAATATTCACATGCAAGTTTTTGGGTAGACTCTGAAGGGTTTTAAATAGAGGAATAATTTACTCACTCAATAAATATCTGTTAAATGCCTACTATGTACTGGCTATGTTCCAGGCATTGAAGATTCAGCAGTGAAACAAAATTACTAGCAATCAGATGACACAGCAGAGCTGTCTTTCACATTCTTATTACCACATTATTACTTTAAGGATTAGCTGCTTATTCCTGAAACTCCTGATTAAATACTATGTTAACTTAGATATGATGTTAGGAAGATGTACTTGTACTGTATTTATAGCATAAATAGTTCTTGTTATCTTAATTTTAATTAGGAAACATTTTTGGAAAATTGATTTCTAGTATCATATGAAGATGACAGTTCTCTATTTTTTCAAAAACTTTTTGACAACATTCCTACAACGGACCAATTTTATAATCAGAAAGTTACTATAAAAAATTACAGGTTGTCGGCCGGGCGCGGTGGCTCACGCCTGTAATCCCAGCACTTTGGGAGGCCGAGGCGGGTGGATCACGAGGTCAGGAGATTGAGACCATCCTGGCTAACATGGTGAAACCCCGTCTCTACCAAAAAATACAAAAAATTAGCCGGGCGTGGTGGCGGGCGCCTGTAGTCCCAGCTACTCGGGAGGCTGAGGCAGGAGAATGGCGTGAACCCGGGAGGCGGAGCTTGCAGTGAGCTGAGATCGCGCCACTGCACTCCAGCCTGGGCGACAGAGCAAGACTCCATCTCAAAAAAAAAAAAAAAAAAAAAAAAAAAACTACAGGTTGTCTTTAAGCAAAACAAATTACAGACAACTTTAAGTAAAACAGTTACAGAAAAAACGAGTGCCTACCTCATTTCTATATGGTTTCACATATACTGTCCACTGATGAGTGTGCCCATCTTCTTCTCTTTTCTTTCCAAAATACCGAGCAACATTACCGTAAACTATTGGTTTAACGATAGTAACACCCTAAAAGAAAAATAATTTTAAAATAAATGAATATTGTACCATTAGCTAAATATGCAGAATAAGAGCTCTGAAAACTTGCTTTAAAGAATGGCAGGCTAACAATCTATAGTTTGCTTATAATATGGATTTCTCTCAAATCAATTTCAGACACATCCTTTCATATTAACACAAAAAACGCCAGAATAATTACAATGTTCCCTCTTTGAAAATGCTTTTATTTAAATTACCATGTAAAGCGCTTTTAGAGTGTTGTTAAAAGAAATGCAAAAGGCCTTTTCTTAAACACCTGAAAGCTAGGCATTGAAATAAAAATGGCCAATTCTGACTGGCATCACCTGTGGCAATGTCCTTATCACCTAGCCTGTGGCAGTGTTTCCCAAAGTATAGTATAAATATTAGGAGTAATTTGTGAGAGGTAGAATAAAGGTCAAACATTTTTCACTTTTTTACTTACGTGTTTAATCAGTATTAAAAAATAGTAATAACTGTAACTAGAAATTAAAACCTACAATTTCACCAAGGTGGGTGGATCACCTGAGGTCAGAGGTTCAAGACCAGCCTGGCCAAGATGGTGAAACCCCACCTCTACTAAAAATACAAAAATTAGCTGGGCTTGGTGGTGTGCATCTGTAATCCCAGCTACTTGGGAGGCTGAAGCAGGAGAATTGCTTGAACCTGGGAGGCAGAGGTTGCAGTGAGCCGAGATCATACCATTGCACTCCAGCCTGGGCAACAGAGCGAGCCTCTGTCTCCAAAAAAAAAAAAAAAAAAAAACAACCAAACACCCTACAATTTAAAAAACATTAACGCTTAGAAAGAGGCTTTTAAAAAATAAACTGATTTAAATGTAAATGTTACAATAAATATTACAGTTGAATTCAGACATGGCAAAAATGGCCAAGAGTCACTTGGATGACTGAAGCTTGGTAAATAGTGGCTGATGACATGTTTGCTACATTTGTCCTTAGTTTAACATACATATTTCTTATATCTGATAAGTGCAAAGGCAGTGCGTATTGACAGATTATGTTGGAAAGATAAAAAATTTCAATTGAAGTGAAAATATTGAATGTTGCACATGAATCTGAAACCAATGGCTCAGTTACAGAAATGTATCTGAAGAACAATGAGCAAGATTTACCACATGTGAAAAGTGCTGAGTGAATGTAACCAACAACAATAAAAATGAAGAAAAGCGGCCAGGCACGGTGGCTCACGCCTGTAATCCCAGCACTTTGGGAGGCCGAGGCGGGCAGATCACCCGAGGTCGGGAGTTCGAGACCAGCCTGACCAACACGGAGAAGCCCCCGTCTCTACTAAAAATACAAAATTAGCTGGGCATGGTGGCGCATGCCTGTAATTCCAGCTATTCAGGAGGCTGAGGCAGGAGAATCGCTTGGAGGCAGGAGAATCGCTTGAATCCAGGAGGTGGAGGTTGCGGAGAGCCGAGATTGCGCTAGTGCACTCCAGCCTGGGCAACAAGAGCAAAACTCCGTCTCAAAAAAAAACAAAACAAAACACACACACACACACACACACACACACATAAGTATTTTAAAACCTACTAATTATTGCTATTTTTTTTTTAAAGAAACATTGTCTTGCTCTGTCGCCCAGGCTAGAGTGCAGTGGCACGATCTCAGCTCACTGCAACTTCCGCCTCTCGGGTTCAAGCGATTTTCCTGCCTCAGCCCCTCTAGTAGCTGGGATTACAGGTGCCCGCCACCACGCCCGGCTAATTTTTGTATATTTAGTAGAGACGGGGTTTCACCATGTTGACCAGCCTGGTCTTGAACTTCTGATCTCAGGTGATCCACCCTCCTCGGCCTTCCAAAGTGCTGGGATTACAGGCGTGAGCCACCTTGCCCGGCCCTGCACGTTAATTTTTAAGGCAGGACCCACTGGCTCCTGATAAAAACAACTATTTGTACCCCTTCTGATTTTTATTTATAAAGGAAAGGAAATTTTTCTTTAAAAAGAATGAACCACGGCTGGGCGCGGTGGCTCACGCCTGTAATCCCAGCACTTTGGGAGGCCGAGGTTGCAGTGAGCCGAGATCGTGCCATTGCGCTCCAGCCTGGGCAACAAGACAGACACTTCGTCTCAAAAAAAAAAAAAAATTAACGTGCCAGGGGCTGTGTGAGGGAAATAAATATTACAATGTCAAACATTACGCTAGGGTCTATGGTAATTTCATCAAAAACAAAAGAAGTTGACATTTACTGAATGTTCCCCATGTGCCAGGCACAGTGTTATGCTCTTGCTTTGAGGCTTTGTGAACACCATGAACTCCAGCAAATTTTCTTAGCTTTCGTATGCCTCGGTGTCTCAGTTACCGCACTTGGAAATACTGCGGGTAAGCGCTCAGCGACTGTTTGCTACAGTTATTGTTATCCTCACACCAGGAGGGTGGCGTCACCGCTTCACCAATAACCTAGATTGGCAGCGAATGTGCACCAAGCTGAGCTTTCCCAGCCCTCGGAGTCGCCCGTTTCCTTGGCAGCCACGTCCGGGTTTCCCCAAGCCACCATTTATCTGTTTGTTTTTTGGCGGGGGTGGGAGTTGGCAGTGACGCGAGGAAGTTGGGGCCCAATGAACGCCGGTTTTTCGCTCAATGGCTCTGACTCGCTCTCCAACCTGAAACCACGGTTCAAACCCGAGGAGAAAAGGCGCGAAAGGAAACCCAGTGGGCCCTCCCCGCGCCGCGCAGGGAGGAACCGAGGCGGGAGAGCCACCCCGGAAGAGGGGCGGTCCGGGCACTGACCTTTACTCTCCCGCCGGAGTCAGGCCCAAATTCGGCCATTCTCTTGAACATATTGTCCCACGGAAGAAGCCGCCGCCGCCAGGGAAAGAGACCGGGGCTGGCGGGGTCGCCGCTCCCCTCAGAGACCGCGCTCCTGTCGCGCGGGCCCAGGCGGAGGGTTTCTAGCCGAAGGAGGGCGAGTTACTTGGGCTCACGGCGGTGAGTAACCGTCAACTCCTCAGGCCGACTGTGCTCCTGAAGGCCATTCAGGCCCGCGCAGGTGGAGAACGCCGCGAAAAGAGGGGCGACGGCCGCACCGCGCGCAGGCGCAACGGGCTCGCGTATGCGCACGCAGTGTACACTGCGCACGCGCCTGGCGGCTGCAGTCACATCACAGGACCAGTGCAGGAGTTCCAAACCAAAAAAAAAATGAAAGGCAGGAAATAATAAATGACTTCAAAAAGTTGTCCAGATGTTAAGGAGATGAGTTTCCACACTGAAAGATCCTACTAAGCACCCAGCACAAATATTAAAGCATCCACGTCAAGGCATATCATTGTGAATTTTCTGAACATCGAGGAAAAAGAGATCCCACACCCTTCCAGGTTATACAGACTATAGAATCAGAGTGGCTTCAGATTGCTCAGTTAGAATCTAGGAAGCCATACGGCACTGTCTTCAAAACTCTGAGGGAAAATTACTTCCGATTTAGTCTTCAATACTCATCCAACTACCAATCTAGTGTGTGAATAGAATAGAGTTTCAGATGTGCTAAATCACTACACACAAAAAATAGTACCTATCTTACCTTTCTCAGTACCTCCAGGAAGATCCTGTAGATCTGATCCACCAAAATGAGGGAATAAGCCAAGAAGGAGGAAATTATGAAATGCAGGAAATACAATAAATAACAAACACAGAAAATAGTAAGATCCCAAGATGATACTGAAAGAGCTCCGGGAACAATAGCTGTGTATAGGCATAGACGGCAACGCATCTAGATTAGATTCGGTCAGAAATCTTTGGGAGACACTGCTTCAGAAGGATGGGATTGACAAAATTCCAGCTGGCGTTGAATCAAGAGGAGATTTGACCGAGAGTTTGGAGTTTAACTCATGACAGGTACACAGAAAACTAAGCGGCTGTAAGAATTATGCAGCTATTAATTCTAGGGAAAACAAAATCTTGTGCAAGAAAGGAAAGTAATTGTATTTATTGTTACATAAATACTGAGTATTGGCCGGGCGCGGTGGCTCACGCCTGTAATCCCAGCACTTTGGGAGGCCAAGGTGGGCGGATCACGAGGTCAGGAGATCGAGACCATCCTGGCTAACACGGTGAAAACCCGTCTCTACTAAAAATACAAAAAAATTAGCCGAGCGTGGTGGTGGGCGCCTGTAGTCCCAGCTGCTTGGGAGGCTGAGGCAGAAGAATGGCGTGAACCCGGGAGGCGGAGCTTGCCTTGAGCCGAGATCGCACCACTGCACTCCAGCCTGGGTGACAGAGCAAGACTCCGTCT
Organism: Homo sapiens; assembly: GCF_000001405.40. Classification (NCBI taxonomy): domain Eukaryota; kingdom Metazoa; phylum Chordata; class Mammalia; order Primates; family Hominidae; genus Homo; species Homo sapiens. The sequence continues at coordinate 69,358,525 of NC_000012.12, read as the reverse complement.
CAAAAAAAAAAAAAAAACAAAACAAAAAAAAACTGAGTATTGATCCCCCCTCCCCCTCAAAAAAAGAATTACATTTAGAAGGATGGGCTTTGGAGAAGGGTACTATGCTTGATGGGGATGGAGGAGGAGGAAATAGAGCTTAATCTTTAACTTCCATAGTAGGAAGTCAGTATCTTAAAATGGAAAAATCAAGAAGAAGCAATATAGGTGTAATATTGAAAAGCATGGAGATAAATATTTTAAAAAATAAGCTAAAAGAGTAGAAAATACTGCTGATTGTAATTTTTAGTAATTCCACTTAACAACTGTAAAGAAAATACTTTTTAAAAGACTTCACTAAATAGAAGTGCAAGGGATGTGCTCAGGGCTTAGTTATATTAGTGCCACATGAAGAGCTCAATTGTCATATGGATGTCACTGCATTTCAACCAAGATAGGAACTGAGTTTCTTTGAAAATGATCAAACATTGATATTGATTTTTATTCTGTTGCCAGAATAAGAGTAGAAATTTGGTTTGGGGGCGTAATTATATTTAAAACAATTGGTATGACTAAGAAATATTTATCAAAAACTAAAGCAAAATCTCCAACAAACATTGCTTTCCCTCTTCAGTCTACTTTGTCTAATCTCTGGCAGTTTCCTCAATCAGCCTGTGTTGTTGGGTTATCCTGGCACTTCTTGGACATGTCCTATCTCTGTTTCTCAGCTGTCACTCTTCAACTCTCTCTCCGCTACCTTGACTCATCCTTTGTACACCTCAGGGTATCTCGATATGCATAAACTCATTCGTTTTTAGTTTAATCACGTCAGAATGGTCCAAGAATTTTGAAGCCAAAGGTTGCACCTATGTAGTGGCCCTCTGCTGCCCTCACATGGCTAGTCTATGTGCTGCATTTACATAGCCAAGAAGTGGCTTGGAACCCCGCAAGCGGTTGTACTGGAATCATGTGGCCTTGAAGAGTTAATTAAAAAAAAAAAAAAAAAAAAAAAAAGGCTGGGCGCGGTGGCTCGCGCCTGTAATCCCAGCACTTTGGGAGGCCAAGGCGGGCGGATTACGAGGTCAGGAGATCGATCTCCTGACATGGTGAAACCCCCTCTCTACTAAAAATACAAAAATGAGCTAGGCGTGGTGGCGAGTACCTGTAGTCCCAACTACTCGGGAGGCTGAGGCAGGAGAATCGCTTGAACCCAGGAGGCGGACGTTGCAGTGAGCTGAGATCGCGCCACTGCAGTCCAGCCTGGGTGACAGAGCGAGACTCCGTCTCAAAAACAAAAAGCTTAGAATGTTCAGTTTGGAGGGAACATACTAAATAATCAGCAAGAGATTTATTCGATCAACTGATATTGATTGAGCATGTACCATGTTCCAGTCACTCTTCTAGGTGTTTAGAATACAGAAGTGGAATGAGTGAAAAATTTCTATTCTTCCTATCAGGACAGTGGTTCAGCATATTATAAAATCAGAGATGTATCATGGTAAGGAGGGTGTCCAGGTGTTGGGGAAGGAAGCAACCCACTGAGGGATGTCAGAGCCTGAGTGGAGAGCACTTGGGCAGAGTTGGGGAATTGGTTACATACAGGCAAACCCATCAAATACGTAAATGTACTAAGGATACATTTTAAGGATAATGAGTATAATGGATGCTAAGTTACTTACTGTCAGAGAAGAGAGTTAAAACATGCGAAAGAAGAAAACTAGAGTGAATCCTGTGGTGTGAGATTAGAATTGGAGATATTGGTGTGGATTCATGATTTTCAATATAAATAGATAGATATAGAGATAAATATAGTGTAAATACATATATCTTCCAGCTCTGTTCACTGATAGGGCCTGGAAACAGTGATACCCTAGTGCCCAGATCCTGTTTTTTTAATACTATTATGCACTTTGAGGAATCAGGGCTCCTTGGAGAAATGCCTTTTCCATTTTTGGAAGCAAGGAAGGAACAAGGTGAGCCTTAGAATATCTTGTGCCAGAAAACAAGAAAGTGCTTGAAGAATGATGGAAATATGTCGAAATGGCACAGAAGACAACTTGCAGGGGCTCACTGGCCAAATCGAGGACAGTGTGAACATCAAAATAAATAATAGTAATGGACTATAACTCCTTATGATTTGAATAAAATAGAAGCCATGGGTCCATACTGATATAATAAATAAATGCATGACCAGGCACGGTGGTTCACACCTGTAATCCAGCACCTGGGAGGCCAAGGCAGGCAGATTGCTTGAGCTCAGGAGTTCCAGACAAGCCTGGGCAACATGGCAAAACCCCATCTCTACTAAAAATACAAAAATTAGCCAGGCATGGTAACGCGTGCGAGTAGTCCCAGCTACTCAGGAGGCTGACGCGGGAGGATTGCATAAGCCTGGGAGGCAGAGGTTGCAGTGAGCTGAGATCGCGCCACTGCACTCCAGCCTAGGCGACAGAGTGAAATCCTGCCTCTAAATAAATAAACAAACAAACTGAAAATTTGATGAGCAGTAGTCTCAAGGCACCTCCTCCCCAAATACTTTACAGTGAAGATGGCTTGCAGGCCTCACCTTAATCAAGTGATCCAAGTGAACATCATCAATAATGGGGCAAATCAAAACTGCAAAAACTGAATGCCACCTGAAAGGATGCAGTGAGAACATCACTTCTGTGGTATTCCTACCAAAGATGCATAACTTAATGGAATCGAGAGAACACCAGAAAAACCTTAGGTACATTCTATAACATAACTAGTCTGTGGTCTTCAAAAGTGGCAAGGTCATAAAAAGTCCAGAAAGAAACAACTGAGGAAATAATCCAGATTCAAAGAGACTTAAAAAACATGACAACCAAATACAATATGATTCTGAATTAGATGCTTTTGTTATGAAGGTCTTATTGGGACAATCGATGAAATTGAGTGGAATCTGATGACTAGGTGGTAGTAATGTATCAGTGTTAATTTCCTAATTTGGATAATTGTTTTGAGGTTTTATGCAGGAGAATGTCTTTATAGGAATTACACACTGATGTAATCAGGGCCATTGGGTATCATGTTGGCTATTTACTCTCAAAACAGTTCTGAAAAATAAAAGATCTTTGTACAGTACTTTTATATTTTTTAAAAGATTGAGTTTATTTCAATGTTTTTTTAAAAAGTGGAAAAACCTCTGTCATTTTGGAAGTTATATTTTGGTGAGAAGAGACAAATAAGTAAAATATGTAGTATATAAAATTATTATAGACTTGAGCCCTGAGGCACTCTCACATTTAGAAATTAAATAGCAGAGAAAGAGTGAGCAAGAAGGACTGAGAAAGAACAGTCAGTGAGGTAGGATGTAAATAAGGAAAAGCCAAGGGATTAAAAAACTGCTAAAAGTATGAAGCGGTTCACTTTGTCAAATGCTGCTGAGATGAACAAGATGATCACTGGAATTAGCACTGAGGAATCATGGGAGAAATCCTGGAGGAGCAGTTTCAGCTGGGTGAGGATAGAAGCCAGATTAGAGAGGGTTGAAAAGACACTGGGAGGTGAGGTCATGGAGTTGGTAAGTACAGACATACTTCCCCAGAAGTCTTGCTGTAAAGGGAGCAGAGAATGGAGTTGCAGTTGGAGGATTATGTAGGGTCAGTGGAGTATTTGTTGTAAGATGGAAGGTTACTAGGGCAGACTGTAGAATGATGGAGGTGATCCAGCTAAAAGGGACAAACTAGGGATGCAGGAAACAGCCTGACTTGGAGTAGTGAGAGGGATGGGAGGGAAACTGCATGTGGAGTCAGTGCTGTTGGCAGGAGCAGAGGCTCTTCATCCTGATAATAGGAGGGAAGGAAGGAAGGATGGGCCTGTGGGAAGGTATGACTGCTGCTTTGGGATGTAGAAGGGAAAGCTTGGTATGAAGTTGCTTTTGTTTTAGAAGTGTAATATGAGGCCAGGTTATCTGCTGAGAGCAGAGGAGGGTGGAGGATAAGGGGGCAGAGGAGGAGGCTGAATGTGTGTCTTGAGGCTTTGAAGAGAGAAGAGGAAAAGTAAAATAGTAACAGTCATTTTGGAGACTAGGGACATAAAAATGGAAGGATTGTAGAGAAGTAACTAAAATGGTCAGGCAGACTTGAGGGCTCATTTGAGATTTATGGTTATGAATTTAAAGTGAGACCTGTCAGCATGCTTGTGAATTTTTCTCCAGCAATATCTGACTATTTAAGTGAGGTAAGTGACGATATAAGAGATATTAAGAGCACCAAATCATATTTTTTCAAATATCTGTATTCTTTTCTTCAGAGACACTATAGGAGTCTAAATAAAAACAGACAAGGCATGTGTTGCAAAGCCTTTAATTAGAATGTTTGTATTTTTTACATCATGCATAACTTCACATTTGTGATTAATTAGTAATTATTTCAATACTTGTAAGCTCATCTGCCTCAGATTTAATCATAATACATGAATTAAATTAATCAAATTAAGGAACAGCAATTTAGAAAGAAACACACTTTAAGAAATCAAAATTCTCAATTCAGGCAGTCTGTTTCTATCATTTGGTATTCTACTCCTTTAAAAATTTCATATTGCCCAACAAAAAGTGGTTATTTTTACTGTTTTTGGAGATGACTGAACAGATGAAGGCATCAGATGCCTTCATCAGCTGGTATTTTGCCTAAGATCTATTTAAGATAACCTTTTCTTATATTTTTTACTTAATATTGGGCATAATCGTATCATTCAAGATTAAGTCTGGGTTATTTCTTTGATAAGAACTGAATGTGGCCGGGCGCAGTGGCTCACGCCTGTAATCCCAGCACTTTGGGAGGCCGAGGTGGGTGGATCACAAGGTCAGGAGATCGAGACCATCCTGGCTAACACGGTGAAACCCTGTCTCTACTAAAAATACAAAAAATTAGCCGGGCGTGGTGGCGGGCGCCCGTAATCCCAGCTACTCGGGAGGCTGAGGCAGGAGAATGGCGTGAACCCGGGAGGTGGAGGTTGCAGTGAGCCGAGATTGCGCCACTGCACTCCAGCCTGGGCGACAGAGCGAGACTGTCTCAAAAAAAAAAAGAACGGAATGTACTGGAGATGTATTTGATAACCAAGGTTTTAGGTAAATTTTCACCAGTATTAGTTCTATTTGCAAACTGAAAAATGTTGTAGGCTTAATGTAAAATAACCACATTAGTGAACATTATATCTCTTAGAAGAAAGGCCATATTTTGCTCCTGCTTCTGTAAAAATATTATTTGTTTGAAGGGGAAATAATGGTAGTGTGACCTTTCACTTAATTCCTACTCCCTTAATGTGAGAGAGACAAAATGAGCTGAAGAAGGAAAATTCTGGAGTTACACTCCACAACCTTGAACATACTGACGGACATCTCTGTTTTGACAACGATTTCTCCATGCCACCCTGTAGAAAAAGATGAAGCAAATGGTGAAAGGTTAAAACATATCTTCATTGTAATATACATACTTCGCACTCCTTGGGGAAACAAAATATTTTATCAATAGATAAAATAGTAAGATAGACCCAGCTATTGCTATTTATTAAATGAAGATATGTATACAAAATACTTCACTCCTACCCAAATTTCTCAGTAGAGCATAGAATGCCGAACATAAAGATTGAGTAATGTGCGTTGTACAGCAGCAACTGCAAAGTGAATTCCACATTTATTTTTTATGTATTTATTTGAGACAGAGTCTCACTCTGTCGCCCAGGCTGAAGTACAATGGCGCAATCCTCTGCAACCTCCACCTCCCGGGTTCAAGCAAGTCTCCTGCCTCAGCCTCCCGAGTGGCTGGGATTACAGGCACCTGCCACCACACCCAGCTAATTTTTTGTATTTTTAGTGGAGATGGGGTTTTGCCATGTTAGGCAGGCTGGTCTCGAACTCCTGACCTCAGGTGATCCATCTGCCTCGGTCTCCCAAAGTGCTGGGATTACAGGCGTGAGCCACTGTGCCCGGCCCACACTTACTTATTCTAAAAAGAATTTCAAGATATGACAAGGAACTGATAGAGTGTGAAGCATCTTAAAACTCTAGAAATCCCCTAAAATAAATTGAGGAGTAAAAGAGTAAGATTCTGGATCAGTTAAAGTAGATTGTTTCTTCAAGGATGTAGGTAATACATCATTTAGCATAAGCCAAAAGCTGCAATTTTGAGGTGTCATTAGCATACTTTGGTCTTTAAAAGTCTGCTCTCATTGTATATATCAACAGTAGAGTAAGATAGTTTTCCCTTTTAACACTTAAAACATACCATGCTCTAATGCCTTGTGGATCACGGACAACCCTCTTTGCACAAGCTACAGCATCAGCGATGTTATCTTGCAGCAAAGCTGAAAGACAGGTGGTAAGGAATAAAAACTTTAATAGATATTTTATTTTAAATTTAGGTTTAGCCAGCTTTTTTCTGTTAGGCTGTGGAAAGAATGGTAAGATATTATTTTCTATGAGTCCATATATGTGTAATTGTTGGGGAAAACTCTCTTCATTCTCTCCCATTCAGCATGAAATGAAGCATTTTTTTCTTCATTTACCAAAGTCATTGGAAGCTCTGGAAGTATTAACAAAATGATTAAAGGTCTTCTTTGCACTAGACACTGTAAAAAAACACCTAGTGATATTTTACTCAGCAGTTCTATTATTGAAAATTTATCCAAAAGAAATAAGAAATGCACCCAAAGATGTATACAAAAAGCTATTCATAGCAATTTATGAGGGAAAAATGGAAACAACCTAAGTGCTCAATAGTAACAATTGGATCAGTAAATTATAGAATATTCATATATTAAAATTCTAGTCATTCTTTTAAAATGATGATACAGATTTGTATTTTTTTCTCATCTGGAAAATGGAGCAAAAGATCATTAAAAACCGATTTGTATTTGCTGACATGCAAATAATTTTGTGTGATAAGAAGCAAATTGTAAAGCCGTGTGTATAATACAATTTAATTTTTGCAAAAGCACACAGTATTTACATGTTTGTATGTGGGTTTATATGTGTATGATATAATTTAACATTCATACACATGATTGATATACATTCTGGAAGAATATATACCAGAATTTACCCATGGTTATAAACCTCTGGGTAGTAAGATTATGGGTGTTATTTTTCTTATTTGTATTTTCTAATTTTTATTTAATGACCAAATATTATTATATAATATAAATTTTTTTAATTAACTGGATTTTAGAAATAAGATTAATGTTCTTTATTGGGAATTTTAATATTTAACAATTTAATAATATCAACTTTGCAAGATTTCTGCAATATTTTTGACACTGAGGATTCCACATGGTATTTCTATTTTTATGAGTTCAGTAAAATATTTGTTTCACTCCAAATAAATAAATCCTTAAGTTAATTTGTTATTTACAATAATAATTCTACAGGAACTGTATTTTTTGAAGATGTAAACTAAAGAATTTAGAAATGGAATATCATCATGTTCCTAATTCACTTAAAAGTCTCTCAGCAGTAGCCAGGTACAGTGGCTAACGCCTGTAATTCCAGCACTTAAGGAGGCTGAGGTGGGAAGATTGCTTGAACTCAGGAGTTCAAGACCAGCCTGGGCAACACAGAATTTGCCTGTACTAAAAATTTCAAAAATTTGCCAGGCATGGTGGTGCACACCTGTAGTCCCAGCTACTTGGGAGGCTGTGGTGGGATGATCACTTGAGGCTGCAGTGAGCTGTGATGGTGCCACTGCACTACAGCCTGGGGACAGGGAGACCCTGTCTCAAAATAAAACAAAACAAAACCAAACAAAAAACTCTCAGCAAAAAAAAAAAAAAAAAAAAAAAAAAAAAAAAGGCATAGAAGAAGCAACTATGGCAAAATGTTAACAACTTTTAAAGTGCATAATGGGCATATGGCTGTTTATTATACTAATGTCTCTAATTTTCTATACATTTAGAACATTTCATAAAAAAAAAAGTAAAACAATTGAAAAAGGACCATACAACTAAATTATCCCAAAACCTCCCCAAAGTAAGCAGGAGCAATGGCATTGTTCTGGACAAAGCATCAGTAAGGCCATTGACAGTAAATTAATAGGTCATTCCAGAAACTTCTGTATATTAAAAAACATCAACCTTTTATGATACCACTTCTTTAATTTCTTACTCAGGGAATTATGAGGAAAATAATAATGACTTTCTGGAAGTTGAGATGTAGTTTTTCTAGGTCCCTCATGAACCTTTCAAGGCTTTTTCATTTGTATTGAGTCTCAATTCTTGTAAGTATAACCAGATTGGTCAAATATTAGCTTGTCTTACCACTGCAGGATAAATGACAGGCATTAACTGCTCCTGGGGTTTTGCCATCATTACACCAGTAGCGGCTATTGATCTGAAATATCCCATAATCAGTGCTTCTGTCTCCAGCATTGTAGTTTGTAGCTCGTGTGTTGTAACCACTCTCCCATTTGGCCAAACACATCCCTGAAAAGAACTTATTTTTAGTAATAAACAGCAACACTAAGTGACTTATACTCTATAGCAAAATCAGTTCTACTTAGCTACTTCTATTTTACTGATTTGTTTTATAAGTATAAAGATTTACTTATAAAATATCTTAGCACTTTAGTGTTAAGATAAGGGACTTGTAAGAGAATCCTTTTGTAATGCAAATCATCTTGTAACACCAACGAACAATATAACATACTTTTAAAATATTAAAATACATGTTTGTTCCATTGCTTTTACCCTTCCCGTGCTCCCATCCCTCAGGCAACATTCAGCCAAGAACAGAAAAATCAACAGAGCTGTTGAGTAGATTTTGTAAATTCATAGCAGATACATAGGCTGATGGAAAAATGCTTTTTTTAATCAGAAAAACATAAGGATTTTCTGATAGAAATTTTCTTATAATATCTAAAGGTGAATTTGGATATCAAGTTAGAATCTTGAAAACAAGACTATTCCGTGATTTCATCCCTTCACTCATTCATTCAAAAATAGCTATTGAGGGGAAATGTCTGAATTCAATCTGAAAACTACAGAGATTATTACATCGACAACTATGTACTAAACTATAAAATAACTTTTCCTCATGGCACATCTTGAATTGTGTGGGAGAAAATGAAAGATAGTTAATCAAGTAGAGTAGATAAAAATAATAAAACATTTCATGCTGAGTTTCTGGGATCCTATACAAAGAGTGACTGAAGGGAACTAGGTTCCTACTGCTCTTGTGTAGGGAATTCAATATATTCTTTAAAAACATCACTGTTAAAAATCCCATGTCGGCTGGGTGCAGTGGTTCACACCTGTAATCCTACCACTTTGGGAGGCTGAGGTGGGCAGATCATTTGAGGCCAGGAGTTCAAGACCAGCTTGGCCAACATGGTGAAACCCCATCTGTACTGAAAATACAAAAAATTAGCTGGGTGTGGTGGTACACACCTGTAGTCACAGCTACTCAGAAGGCTGAAGCACGAGAATCACTTGAGCCCAGAAGGCAGAGGTTGCAGTGAGCTGAGATCATGCCACTGCACTCCAGCCTGGGCCACACAGTGAGACTGTCTTTAAAAATAAAATAAAATAAAATAAAAATAAAAATAAAAATCCCACATCACGGCAGGGGACTTGAAGACAAGAAAAATACTGCATCACTCTAGGCTCTCAGAGCCCAAGTTCAAAATGGGAAATAACTGGAGTCACATACCAAGGACTTGAGAGAGCTCTGCCAGGTCCTCAAATGTATCTTTCAGTCAGCTTACATGTGCCATTGAATCTCAGGCACCCAGCAAACTTCCTAGCACTAGAACAGTACAACAGGTCCTGTTTTACTTAGAATGGAATTTTCCCCTGCCATGCCCGTATTCCTTTATCGGGTATCTCTGGTTATAAAGAACCAAACTGATGTTTTTAGCCATTGTAAGTATACAAACCCACAAAGAAATAAAACATCTATTCACTCAAAGCCCCTTCTTCTTCTTCCTTCTCTCCTAGTGTCTGTTCCATACGTAGCTAATTCTCTGGAATTATGGAGAGTAGACTTACAGTTTGCTAGGCTGATTCCCCTGTAGCCATCCATTCCCAATCTTTTCAGAGTTCTGGCCAACTCACACCTTTCAAAGACCTTGCCCTGGACCGTAACAGAAAGGAGGACAAGCCCCAGAACAATGAGAGCCTTCATGTTGACTGCTAGGTCAGAGTGCTAGGCTGACCAGGGTGAGCTGGCCCCAGTATTTAACATCTTTTAACTTCCTTCTTCCCCTTGTGGTTTGGGGGCTCCACCCTTTCAGTTGTGTGGAAAACAGGAACTGTCTATTGATCCACTGACTCTAAAGAGATTTTTTTAATGCTTGAAGAGAGATATGCTGATGTCCTAAGAATTAGTCTACAGGAAAATAATGAAATGGAATTGTTTAAAGTACTGGCTCTGGAAGAATTGGGGCATAGCACTACTTCCAAGACAGGAACTTTCTTCTGTTTGATTATGAATTTGAGCAATTATAAAGAAAAAAATGACTATTTTGTGCAGCTTAAAATGAGCTGTGATTTTTGAGTAACATTCAATTTTGTGAAATTGTTTTGTATGCATTCACTTTTTTATATTTATCTTTTTTACTTAAAATTATTTTACATATCTTTTCCACAAAATGGACATGACACATGTGCCTGTTGTCTTAATGGGTGTATAGTGTGACACCACGTTGCTCAGCTAGTTTCTTACTCTAGACTCTTTTTGTTACTATAGCAAATTTTTTATTATTATAAATCAGTGTTTTACTATTATAAATAAGGTTCATGTGAACAACTTTACCAACTACCTTTTTTTTTTTTTTTTTGAGATGGAGTCTTACTCTGTCACCAGGCTGGAGTGCAGTGGCGCAATCTCAGTTCATTGCAACCTCTGCCTCCCGGGTTCAAGCAATTCTCCTGCCTCAGCCTCCCAGGTAGCTGGGACTACAGGCATGTACCACCATGCCCAGCTAATTTTTGTATTTTTAGTAGAGACAGGGTTTCACCATGTGGCCAGGATGGTCTGGATCTCTTGACCTCGTGATCCGCCCGCCTCGGCCTTCCAAAGTGCTGGGATTACAGGTGTGAGCCACCACATCCGGCCTACTTTACCAACTACTTTTCACAATACTTTGCCTCCCCTTTCCATATTAGAACATAAGGGGTCATTAGAAAGCAACAGCATTTTAAAAATAAAACCTACCCAAACATATATCCAACTAAATGCTACCTTTGAAAATAGCAATCTCAGGAGGCTGTGCACAGCTTTTAAAACAATGCTACCAGAACTCAAAAAGAACTGCACTTCTGTATCTGCCTAAGAGGACAGATTCTGAGCCACACAAAGTGTCATCACTTTGTAGTTACCCTTATTTTTCATCAGTGGCCTCTAAAGATTACCAGATTTGGTTTTAAATGACAGTTCAAGGACCCTGTTCAAAAATCAAGAATAATCTCATTTTTCAGGCTAGGCCTAATTTTGATTCTTCAATAATAAATAGGGCCAGGTGCAGTGGCTCATGCCTGTAATCCCAGCACTTTGGGAGGCTGAGGTGGGTGGATCACCTGAGGTCAGGCGTTCAAGACCAGCCTGGCCAACATGGTGAAACTCCGTCTCTACTAAAAATACAAAATTAGCTGGGCGTGGTGGTGCGCCTATAATTCCAGCTACTTGGGAGGCTGAGGCAGGAGAATTACTTGAACCCGGGAGGCGGAGGTTGTGGTGAACTGAGATCACACCACTGCACTCCAGCCTGGGCAACAGAGTGAGACTCTGTCTCAAAAAAAAAAAAAAAAAAAAGAAAGAAAAAAAAAATGGCCAGCTGCGGTGGCTCATGCCTGTAATCCCAGCACTTTGAAAGCCCAAGGCAGGCTGATCACCTGAGGTCAGGAGTTCGAGACCAGCCTGGCCAGCATGGTGAAACCCCGTCTCTACGAAAAATAGAAAAATTAGTTGGGTGTGGTGGTGGGTGCCTATAATCCCAGCTACCTGGGATGCTGAGGCAGGAGAATCGCTTGAACCGAGGAGGCGGAGGTTGCAGTGAGCCGAGATTGTGCCATTGCACTCCAGCCTGGGAAAGAGAGTGAGACTCTGTCTCAAATAATAATAATAATAATAATAATAATAAATAGTGAGACAGATTTTCAGGACCCAAAGAGACAGAAACCAATTAAAAGAGTTAGTCTTGGCTGGGCGCAGTGGCTCATGCCTGTATTTCCAGCACTATGGGAGGCCGAGGCAGGAGGACTGCTTGAGACCAGGAGTTGGAGACCAGCCTGGGCAACATGGCAAAACCCTATATTTACTAAAAATAAAAAAAAATTTAAAAATGTGCTTGTAGTCCCAGCTACTCGGGAGGTTGAGGGTCAGAGGATCACCTGAACCCAGGAGGTTGAGGCTGCAGTTAGCTGAGATCGTACCACTGCACTGCAGCCTGGGCAACTAGAGTGAGACTGTGTCTCAAAAATAAAAAAAAGAAAGAAAGAAGGAAAAAAAGAGTTAGTCTTTGGTCCCCTTTATGCCGTTCCCAACTCAATACTAAAGAACAGCCAGTTATTACATATGCTGGTTTCAGCCTTATGCTGATAAGATTAATTTTTGTTTTCAAATGTTTAAATAGTTATGACCTTATACTTTCTTGGAAGTGGAACAAGCAAATATTTGCTTGCCAACCTGAACCAAAGTGATAGCATGTTATCATGTGACTACTGCAAAGGGAAGAAGTGTTTTTGATCCCCTTAATTATCTCCCCTGGGGAAGAAGTTAAGGGCAGTTATAACATCCATTTATAATCCTGTCATTCCATTTGAGGTAGGTTTAATGAGCAATCTATTTAAAAATAAAATAGCAAGTAAGCATGATTTGAGGGCAGAGATAATTTTTCTTCCTCAGAAATTTTGTATGTACTGCATGTTCTTTTTGATGCAATGTATGCATTTTATCTTTTTAGGAAAGTTGCTTACAGACCCTAGATTACTTTGTTGTATTACAATGGGCAATAGTCATGATTTACTCAACTTATTTGTTTCTCAAGATAGAGAAAAATAATTATTTATGGTGAGTGTTGGGGGCTTCAGGCCTAGGAAAGGGAATTTGACCAAGGGTTTCTCACACTTTTGACTATTCCCCAAAACTAAAACCATCCTGAAAAGATGGAGATTTGCCATAATTTAAGATATTCTAAAGAATGTGCTATAGCCCTCTGTTTTGTTTTGTTTTTAGATAGGGTGTTAGGCCAGTTTTGTTTTGTTTTGTTGTTTTGGAGACAGGGTCTTGCTCTGTTGCCCAGGCTAGAGTGCAAGGGCACAATCTTGGCTCACTGCAGCGTGAACTCCTGGGCTCAAGCAATCCTCCTGCCTCAGCCTTCCAAGTAGCTGGGACCACAGGCGAGTAGCTGGGACCACAGGTGTGTGCCACCACACCTGGCCAACTTTTTAAATTTTTAGTAGAAACACAGTCTTGCTGTGTTGCCCAGGCTGGTCTTGGACTCTTGGACTTAAGCAATCCTCCTGCCTCAGCCTCCCAAAATGCTTGGATTACAAGCAGGAGCTACTGCACGCAGCTCTGTTAGGCCATTCTTATGTTGTTATAAAGAAATACCTGACACTGGGTAATTTATAAGAAAAGAGATTTAATTGGCTCATGGTTCTGCAGGCTGTTCAGGAAGCATGGCACCAGCATCTGCTTCTGGAGAGGCCTCAGGGAGCTTACAATTATGGAGGAAGGTGAAGGAGGAACAGGTATTTCACGTGGTGGAGCAGGAGCAAGAGAGTTGCCGGGGGTTGGCGGGGGCCACACTTTACAACAACCAGATCTCGTGAGAACTCACTCACTATCACCAGGACAGCACCAAGCCACGAGGGATCTGCGCCCATGACCCAAACACCTCCCACCAGGCCCCACCTCCAACACTGGGGATTATAATTCAACAGGAGATTTGGATGGGCACAAATAACCAAACTATATCACAGGGTCTCACTCTGTTGTCCAGACTGGAGTGAAGCAGTGCAATTATGTTTTTTCAGCTTTGATTTCCCAGGCTCAGGTGATCCTCCCACCTACAGGCGTGTACCACCACACACAGCTAATTTTTCATTTTTTGTAGAGACAGAGTCTCGTTATGTTGCCAAGGCTGGTCTTGAACTCCTGGGCTCAAGCAATCCTCCTGTCTTGGCCTCCCAAAGTGCTGTGATTACAATCATAAGCCACTAGGCCTTCTGCTGAAAGTGGTGGGATGGGCACACAGGTTTCTCTCTGTTCACTTTCCAAATTCCATTAAAGTATCAACAAAAGGAGTTTGAAAAGGTATAAACCAATAAGGGCAAAGGAAAAGCAGAAGAGATGATAATAGATGAGAAATGTCAATAAAAGTTTATAATACAGAGTGGTTGAGTAGTAACTAACTTAGGATAATGGAGAAAGCTGACACCTGAGTGCCTGGAAAAAGGGAAATCAATACAAAGCAAACTAGTTTGTGCCCTAGATCCTGGAAAAAAACTCAGTAATTCTGAAGGCAGGACTGCACGGCAGTGCTATAAACAGGAAGACAGGTTGGAAATCTGTATATGGAACAGTTAAGCCCCAGATTTTCTCCCCCAGACCAGGAAACCAGGTTGCTGCCTTTTCCCACCCTAGAAGAAGGATGAGAAGATCACTCTTTGGAGAGGATGAACCAAAGACTCTGGACTTAGGACTCAAGGCATGACTAAAGACAGGGGATAATGCCATAATGAAAATAGGGGCATTAAATGCAAATCTGCATTCTGAGCAGTAAGCCAGTCACCCAGCTCTCAACCTGCCTGAACTGAGCTCCTTGATGTCTGGCTGCCAAAACCACCTCCCAGGCAGGAGCCAATAGGATCCTCTCTGGAGTAAATGTCTGAACCAGGAGAAAAGACCTATAGATATTAATATTTGGGGCCCACAGTGAAATGGCCAGTCTTGATCAATTGCCTGTGGTGAGACGTACCCAGGCTTACAGATTTTCTGCTCAGCTCCTTGGTGCTTTGTATTACTCTTACACAATCAGTGGAGGATACTTGATGAAAGACACTATTGTGAAAGACAGAGTGACATTAATATCAAAAGAAACATTTCGAGAAGAAGAACTCAAAGGAAACAGAGGCAAAACAAAATAAGACATAAGCTATAACGAATATCTCAGGGAGATAAGAGAAAATAAGAGAAAGAAAGGGAGGGAGAAAGAGAGGAGTGTGTTTTAGGCCTTGAAGGGGACTCTAAGAGAGAAGTTCCAAAAATATTTTAATCGATAGTGGAATTACTAAAGTAAGGGTGATTATTTTGAAGCCTTCCTCATTCATCTGCATATATGAACTCTGTCATATTTGTTGAGGCAGTCATGTTACTTTATCATCATCTTTCTTCTGCAGCTCATCTGTACCCAGATCTGTGTTCTCTTAAATTTCAATGGAAATAAGCGAAATATTTTCACAGAGCTTCATGAGCAGCATTCAGATAACATATAAGCCATGTAAAAATTAACTAGAAAGAATATCTCAGTACAGTGTTCTTTTGGTAGGGTCACTTTTATTACACAGTTTTTTAAAAAAAGATTTAAAACTCTTGCAAGAATAGCATTTATATTTCCTGGAAGAAACACAAGTTGCCATGCTTCCAGAATGCTACCTCCTATCCAGGCTGTTGTTTGGAAAACAAGTTCCACTGAGAGAGGATAAGCTGGGGAGGGACTTTCTGAGGCCGCTGGGTATTAACGAGGCAAATTTGGTCATATCTAGGGTGATAATGGTAGCAGATTCCAAGACTGGTAGCACTCTGCATCTCACTCCCATGTGGGGTCCAGGGCAGTGGCAAGAAGTCTCTTGGATGGCATGTAGTTGTTGGAGAAATTGAACACAAATTGCCCTGCCTTGGGCATCAACAAAGCTTGGAAAAGGAGCCTCCTGCCTTTGAATGACCACGTCAGCTTGGGCAATAACCACTGTCTGAATAGCTCAGGCATGACCATGACAGGCTGAAGCTCTAAGGTCTTCCCCAGGTTTTCTGAACTTTGTAGTTTTTTGAGACTCCTAGAAGCTCCTGGACAGGACATCAGCTTAAAAAGTTTAACAAAACTAACAATGCCTCACCACACGGGGGAAGAGGTGCTTAGAGACATATTTTGTTAGATTTGGGAAGAAAGCAAAGTGATGTTTCTTACGTCCATTTATGGTATATCAGATCTATACTAACCACACTATTTGATCTAGACTTGCTTGCTCTGATTAGAATGTGATTGGAAAGCAGAAAATGAGATGATTCCTGGGGGCTCTAGGGATTAAACTATTTTCCTGAAACTAGCTCGTTGGTGTCACGATTCAGGTCACCATTAGCTCCAGAGGTAACCCTAGGTCGTTTTTTTTTCTTTCTTTTTTTCTTTTTTCTTTTTTTTTTAGAGACAGATTCTCACTCTGTCACCCAGGCTGGAGTGCAGTGGCACAACATAACTCACTACGTCCTTGAATTCCTGGGCTCAAGCCACCCTCCTGCCTCAGCCTCCAGAGTAGCTGGGACTACAGGCACGTACCACACACCTGGCTAATTATTTTAATTTTTGTATAGATGGGGTCTCTCTTTGTTGCTTAGGCTGGTCTCGAACTCCTGGGCTCAAGTGAGCTTCCCACCTCGGCCTCCCAAAGTGCTGAGCTTGTAGGTGTGAACCACTATGCCCAGCCAGTGTTTGGATTTTCAATAGCTCACACTAGTGAGACAGACCTCTCTGTCTTTATAATCTTGTTTCACTATAATTTATGTCATTACTATAGATTTTTTGTTCCTGCAATCTTGTTTTTGCTATTAGTATTAAGTAATTAAAATATTACCTGTGTCAGTATATGAGAAAAATGAATTTAAAAACCCTCAGAATGTCACTGACGCAGGTAAATCTAAATTGTGTTAATGGAGAGAAGCACTGGCATGGCTTTTGTCAGGGTGTGCAAGTAACCACTTGGTAGTGAAGCAGTGCTGCTTCCTCGAAGTTATTGAGGACGTTGGGATACTGTGGTTAGGACAGCGGCATTTCACTCATGACTCAGCTGAGGCTGCCCTGTGGGGTTTGGCTTAGGGGTGCAGAGGACCTAGTCTCATTTCTGTTGTGGCAGCGTGGCTGCTAGCAGAATATGCAGGGAGTGAGAGAGTTGGGGTGTAGGGAGCAATACCCTCTGACTCTCTGGGGGACACTAGATGCTGAAAGGTTAAAGTGAAGTAATTACTCTCTCAACTAATGGAGGTGCTGTGTACCAGTCTCGTGAAACAGGACGAGCACCCCTCCAGCTGTCCCCTGCAAGTCCAGGAGCCTGGCCACGGGTCAGAATGGCTTCCTTGTGGGAGCAGTCCCTGTGAGGAGTAGGACTTGACCCCAATCCAAAGGTGGCATTTCGTTGGCTCCTGAGGCACATGGGTTGCTAGGAAATGGTAACTAATTTAGGCTTGGCTAATTCAGATTAGTGTATTTTTTCCCAAGGATTAGTTTTGTTTTCTTTCTTCCCGTTGTGACTGGCATGCAATCTGTTCTTTTAGCACTCAATATCCCTGTAATTTGAGGTCCTGCTCATTGCAAAATAGATCAAACAAGCTAGATAATTTCCTTCCCAGGTTTTCTGACACCATCCAAACTGCAGAAATCATCAAACTTTAATTTATGCTATGGTCTTGCTGCTGCATTTTGGGTCAGGTAACTGGTTAATTCTGAAAGGAAATAATACTATTCACCATACATCCGAGGACTGGGTAATAGGGAATTATTTCTACTATATTGCCAATACTGTGCTACAATAGTCTCTAGCAAAAGCCACATGTTACTGTATTTAAAATCTGTCACTTGATCACTTGGCCTAATAAGTAGCACTAGCCTAGTAAGGGTATTGCCAGGCTCTGCCATGCATTTTACCTCCACCCACAGAGGAGAATTCACCATTTCTGGTATTTGCTGTGCATTTACTCTGTTCTTTGCCTTCTCTCTTGCCATCTCTTCAATCTGCTATGCCCTTCCCCACCTACTCTGCCTATGGAAAGCCTCCTAATTCCGCAAAGTCTTCAAGAAGTACAAGCCAGCCAGGGGACTGGAGGAATTGAGGTTAGGTGGGCAGTGTTCTAAATAGAGAAAGTCATATAAGCAAAGGCAGAGAGCAAAGAGAGTAGGCCATATCTGAAAGAATCACTGAAAATAGTTTTTAAAAAGTAACAACATTTCTGTTAAAGGGATAGTTAGAGTTAAGACTCTTTCAGAGTTATGTTTAAAGTTCAAAAACACTTTTGTAAAGGCATCCTGGCTTTTAAGCTCTTAAATTGCTTTTAATATGCTTCTTACAGTTGTTGCCTTTGCCATGTGCCATACTCTCACGCACTTATTGGGAAATAATTTGTTTGACAATGCTTATCTAGCAGCTACTAACTGCTAGGCAGCACCGTGCAAGGAGCTCAGGTTCTGGTAGGAACTAGGCAGGTAACATCCTTGCCCTAATAGAGTTTGTAGAATAGTAAGTCATGCTGATTGAAAACAATTTTAAGTGTGGTGAGTACTTCAGAATAGAAACAATGTATTTATAGAAGAAATTAACAAAAGTGATAAACCTGTCTAGGAGGTTCTAATTGAGACCTGAATGATGAGTTGTAGTTAGCCAAATGAGAGAGGTAGGGAAATTGTGGAGAGAGAGTGGGGCTGAAACAGCATGTTCTAAAACCCAGAGGCAAGAGGCACGAACAGGTTGATGAAGACCCTGAAAGAAGTGCTAGAATGTCTGGTAAAGACATTTAGACTTGGCTGGGCACGGTGGCTCACGCCTGTAATCCCAGCACTCTGGGAGGCCAAGGCGGACAGATCATGAGGTCAGGAGATGGAGACCATCCTGGCTAACACGATGAAACCCCGTCTCTACTAAAAAATACAAAAAATTAGCCAGGCATGGTGGCGGGCGCCTGTAGTCCCAGCTACTGGGGAGGCTGAGGCAGGAGAATGGCATGAACCTGGGAGTTGGAGCTTGCAGTGAGCCGAGATCGCACCACTGCACTCCAGCCTGGGCCACAGAGCGAGACTCTGTCTCAAAAATAAAATAAAATAAAAAGATATTTGGACTTTAAATCTGTAAGTGCTAGAATGTCTGGTGAAAGACATTTGCCACTGGATAAAGTGGCAAAGAGAAATGAGATTGAGGTCAGGGTGGGAGGGGCAGGACCACATCTAGGCACTTAATCCCAAAGAGAGTGGGATTTAGGATTTAATCCCAAAGACAATGAAAAACTATTCATGAGTATTAAAGTGGAGAGTAACAGCCTCAAAATTTTTAAAGAAATCACTCTATATTGGCTTCAGAGAGAATTGCTAGAGAACTGACACATAATCCAGATGGCAGGTGATGATTGCCTGTGGAGAGAACTGAGAGAGCTCAAGAGATATTTAGGAGGTTGAATAGTCAGCCTCCTAAACTGGTGATTACTCAGACTGTTTGGAGATTAAGAAAAAAGGGAAAGGAAACAATACTAGCTTTTGTTTATCACATACTTACAAAGTGCTAGTCCATTAATAAACATTACCTATAATTCTTACAGGGATTTTATAAGTATTATTTCAATTTTACAAATAAATAAAGAAATATAGCTAATAAATGTGAGAGCAGGGATTTGGATTCAGGTTCAGTTACATCCTTTTTTCAGTCTACCATACTACCTTGTAAAAATTGAAGTGAAAAAGGAATAAATTCTGTTAAGACCCAATTCTCACGCTTTGACAAGCTATAACGTTGATTTCAGTTCCTGATATAGTTGTGCCAACCCATTATATTCTTTTTAATTTTAATTTTATTTTATTTTGTTATATTTTGTAGATGGGTCTTGCTATGTGGCCCAGGCTGGAGTGCAGTGGTTATTCACAGGCATGGGTATAGTACACTATAGCCTTGAACTCCTGGGCTCAAGTGATCCTTCCACCTCAGCCTCCAGAGCAGTTGGGGCTATAGGCCAGACACCACCACACCTGGTTTATATATTTATGTTAAAGGTGTGAGTTTTCTCTAAGAGTTTGGTCTAACAGCAGGCAATGCCATTGAACGCTTAGAGGCTGTCAGTGTTGAACAACTGATACAATCATTCTGAAGGGCTTTTGATTTCTTTCTCAATGCTCTATTATTTCCATTATCTTTAAGCTTCCAAGGCCAAAGTAATTAGAACTTTGGCTAGATCTCACTTCCCCCTTTCCCATTATAAACAAACACTTTTCTTCCCACTTTGGTCAAGTTACAAAGATCATTCCTCAATTTACACAATAACTGGGCATTCAACATTGAGAAATTATAATGAAATCATCAACTGATTTTTCAGATGTGATGAAATGCAGTCTTGTTTGCAAAGAAACAGAAGTGTTCCCATTTTAACTTCCTCTTTCTAGAAGGGCATTCTGATTTCATTTCTGTATTAAATAAGATCTTTGGATATAAGTTCTGTATAATCTTTTCATTTTGTATTTTTAAAATTTTGTTTTTATTTTTACCATTTTGTTTTTGTAAGCTAGGTTCTGTATAATCTTTTCATTTGCGCCTATCTAATTGTATATTTATTAAATTCCCTCTCACTGAACTAGTGATTTCAACCTGTAAATGAGCTCTGGTAACATCACAAAATGTTGATGAAAGAGGGAAGAAATTTGTTGTAAATAGGATAATGGGGTCATATATGTGGGTTGCATTTTACTCCCTCTTGACAAACATTTTACTGCAACCCTTAGAAAGCAAATAAGTTAAAATGTTTAACTTCCTATTAACGATGATTTGCATATACACATTTACTTGAAGATGATGCTGGTCTCTCTTTTGGCATCACTCTAAGTTGTTTTGGGTGCAGCTACACTATCTTATTCTTTCCTCCCTCACTCCCCCAACTCTAGTACACAATACCTCTGTGAGGTGGCTGTTTGCCAGCATGGAAATACTCTATTTCCAACTCCAGTACACAATACCTCTGTGAGGTAGCTGGTTGCCAGCATGGAAATACTCTATTTCCACCTCAGTCAAGTAGAAACTGAACCCACAAATGTAGTGCCATTTACACCCAGGCCTTGCAATCAAGTCAGCCTGACCCAAAGAGGATAAGGGCTGGTATCAGTGTCTCACACATCTATTTTGTGTGGGTTTTTTTAGTTCCAGAAACACTGTGTTGAGATCACACATTTATTTTAGAAAATAATTTCCTTGACTGCTGTTTCAAACTGACATGTAATTGAAGACTAACAGTAAATTAGAAATGTTATTTTAAAAATAGGATGCTAAACCCTAATCTGCTACTACTTGACTACTAATTTTTGTGAAAACAAAGGGAGTAAAATAAACCTAAACACATAAAAACTACACTTAGAATTATCATATCTATGTAAGGAATTCAATCACACTGCAAGTTAAATCTCCTCTGTGGAGTGTAGCATCTATTTTAGACCTGAATTTCATGTATGGACTTCATGATAACTTCATGTTAGTACATGGCTTTCTTACTAATCCCCTTAACTCCAGGTTTTCTCTCTTCTGACCCACTCCACACCCAGAACGTGCCATTCTTGAACTCAGAGGACTTAGTGTTAAAAACACACATATGTCATTACATATCATCTATGACTTCATTTTCTATTATTGTTTGCTGTTGTATTGTCTTTATAACTGCTATCATGAGCTTTTCGAGGGCTTATGCTCCTTTAAACCTTTGCTTCTGCCTTCCCAGTAAGAAACCTTCACTTGTACAATGTAACCACTCAACAAATTTGGTAAAGTCACTGTATAAAAAATACATCCCACCTACAATTAAATTGTTGCTCTTCTCTTCTGAACATGTGTTTTAAAACAGGATTCTGACGTTACATATGATGCAATGAAGTAACACAAAGTTCTAAATAAAAGCCAACCACAAACTACAGAGGAATGTGTTTTTTTAATTATTAGAAAATAATTACAAAATATAGCTTAGAGTTAAAAAAAGAGAGAGAATAGTTTTTATTTATTTATTTAATTTTTTTTTTTTTGAGATGGAGTCTCGCTCTGTCACCCAGGCTGGAATACAGTGGCACAATCTCAGCTCACTGCAACTTCCGCCTCCTGGATTCAAGCAATTCTCCTGCCTCAACTTCCCTGAGTAGCTGGGATTACAGGCGCCCACCACCATGCCCAGCTAATTTTTGTATTTTTTAGTAGGGACAGGTTTCACCAGGCCAGGATGGTCTCAAACTCCTGACCTCAAGTGATCCGCCCACCTCAGCCTCCCAAAGTGCTGGGATTATAGGTATGATCCACCATGTGAGCTACTGTGCCTGGCCGAGAGAATAATTTTTAAAAATACACAGTTAACTTAGCCCTCTGGAATACATTAGAAATAAGACCATATGTTTGAGGCACAGGATTTCTCATACCAATCTGGGTAGAAACTATTTGAAGGTATGATTCAATACTTCATTTAAAGTTAATAGGGGATTGGGTGCCATGGCTCACACCTGTAATCCCAGCTCTTTGGGAGGCCGAGGTGGGCAAATCGTGTAAGCCCAGGAGTTCGAGACCAGCCTGGGCAACATGGCAAAACCCCATCTCTACAAAAAATACAAATAATTAGCCGGGCGTGGTAGCATGCGCCTTAGTCCCAGCTACTCGGGAGGCTGAGGCAAGAGGATTGCTTGAGCCCAGGAGGAACAGAGGTTGCAATGAGCTGAGATTGTACCACTGCACTCCAGCCAGGGTGACACAGAGAGACCCTGTCTCAAAAAAAAAAAAAAAAATTTAATATGGACAAAAAAATTCCACTTTCATTGCTAAGAACACTATAATTTTATTATAGAATAAGGTCCTGTATAACATTTGGTTACAAAGTTTAAGAATTTATCTATTCATTAGTTCAATATAATAAAAGTTTTTTTTTAATCGAGACAGACAGGGTCTTATTGCCCAGACTGAAGTACAGTGGCGTGATCATAGTTCACTGCAGTCTCAACCTCCTGGGCTCAAGGGATCCTCCTGCCTCAACCTCCTGAGTAGCTGGGACTACAGGTGCACCACCAGCACACCCAGCTGATTTCTCATTTTTTGTAGAGATAGGGTCTCACTACGTTGCCCAGACTGGTCTCAAACTCCTGGGCTCAAGCAATCCTCCCATCTCAGTGTCCCAAAGTGCTGGGATTACAGGTGTGAGCCACTGCGCCCAGCCAAGAATAAAAATTGACTGAATATTTTTCTATGTAAGAGGCACTGTATTGATGCTGAGGATACCAAGGTGAAAAAACATGGTTGTTTTCTTCTACAGAACATGCAAACCAACAATTATAATCCAATGTAATAGTTTTAATGGTGATAGCTACAAAGTGAT
The DNA here is from genome assembly GCF_000001405.40 of Homo sapiens. Classification (NCBI taxonomy): domain Eukaryota; kingdom Metazoa; phylum Chordata; class Mammalia; order Primates; family Hominidae; genus Homo; species Homo sapiens. Next base: position 69,335,235 of record NC_000012.12, on the reverse strand, counting down.
GATGGAGCATGGAGGGAACCTGAAGTCTGTCTGGAAGAGATGGTGAACGCTTCATAGAATTTCAGCTGAATGAGAATTGGGGGAAGAATAGAATTTTGTTTAGTGGACAAGTGGGGTAGAAGACTTGTGGTAGAAACTTCCAATACTCACCCATATCTAGTTCCCTCTCCTTCCAGGCACAGAGGAGGATTATACTTCCCTGTCCCCTTGTAGAGTTAGGCGGAGTGATGTAGCTAAGTCTAGGCAATGAGCTATGGGTAGAAATGTCATTTCTAAGCTGAAACATTTAACTGCTGGTGCAAAACACTCCAGTGCTCTTACTTTTCCTTGGCAACTGATGAAGTTGTATGTTTCAGAAAGTGTAGCTAGCTACCTGATGGTGGAACCTCCGGCAGCCTGAGCGTCTGAGTGACTATGTGGAGCAGAGCCACTTGCTAAACTGTGATAGGCATTTTGGAATGAATAAGGAATAAAATGCGTGTTAAGCCACTGACATTTTGAAATTGTGTTATTTCAGCATTCCAGGTAGAGGTAAACATATTTAAAAATAAAAGAAAGGAAGAATAGACAAATCTTCCATGCAGGAGAATTTCAAGTACTTTATGTAGATACTCTGCCCTCAAGGAAGTATTGAGGCTGTGCATAGTGACTTCCTTCCAAAGAATACAGTATGGAAACGAGGGAAAAGAATAATTTCACAGGAGAGAAACCTGACAAATTCTACTTCAGTCAGTAGATCAATGTTAACATCAACAGTGATAAGCCACATTGATAAGTATGCATCCTTGATATGATGTGATGAAAATGGTATTTGCCTCTGTGGTCTTTCTCTCCAAAACATATAACCCCAGTCTCACCATAAGAAAAACATCAGACAAACCTCAAATGAAGATTATTCTACAAAATACCTGATGAGTACTCAAAACTGCCAAGCTCATCAAAACAAGGAAATTCTGAGAAACTGTCACAGCCAAGAGAAGCCAGAAGAGATACAACAACAAAATGTTATATGCCACCCTGGATAGGATCCTGTAACAGAAAAGGGGCATTAGGTAAAAACTAAAAAATCTGAATAGAGTATGAACTTTAGCTAATAATAACATATCAATATTGGTTCATTAATTGTAACAAAGGTACCTTATTGATGTAAGATGTTAGTAATAAGGGAAAGTGGGTGTGGGGAATACAGAAATGAACTGTCTTATCTTCAGGATTTTTTTGTAAATCTCAAACTATGCTGAAATTAAAAGTTTATTTAAAAATAAACACTGCCTCGGCAACATAGTGAGATTCTGTCTCTTAAAAAAAAAATTGGCCAGGCATGATGTTACATGCCTGTAGTCCTAGCTACTCTGGAAGCTGAGGTAGGAGGATCACCTGAGCTCACGAGGTAGCGCCATCATTGTGCCACTGCACTCACTCCAGCCTGGGTTGCAGAAGGAATCTCTGTCTCAAAAAAAAATAAAAATAAAAAATAAAATAAAAAAAGAAAAGAAAGGAAAAAAGGTATAAGAAAGAATATGGTATGCTGTGGAAGTTCCTTTCAAAGTAGAAAGTGGAAGTGAAGAGCTTGGCTGGGTAAATGAAGAATCTTTTATGCTATTAAAAGGAAATTCCATTTTTATTGTATAGGTTAGGTGAAGGATCCCTAGAAGATCTATGGATAGGCTTCAGAGGTGTTGCTAAACCTCCAAAATTATATAAAATTATATTGCATATTTTTCTCAGAAGAAAGTAAAAAGCTTTATTATTTATTCTCAAAAGTATAAGTACCTAAAATAGGTTAATAATCACTGCTGAAGGCAATGTAAAAACTGAAGTCTTCCGAGTAAAAGGAATGACACAATTGTATTTTTTTGTGTGCCAAAAAGGACCATAGATCACTTTTTGCTAGGACAGACTAAAGTGATTTGGTGTGTGTGGGGGTGTGTGCGTGTTTGGAGAAGGAAGGCCAAAATGAAAGGCAAGATGATAATAAAGACAGTGATCTTCAAACTTTTGAACGTGGTACATTTTGCAAGGGGAGAAAACTGTTGGGATTCACTCAGGATGGTGGCAGAAAGAATAAAGGGAAATATTAGGGAAAGTTATAGGAAATAGTCACAAACCTTTTAGAAGGCCGAAAGTTTACATAGCTTGTAATAATTGAACAGGCCAAGGCGGCCAGTTCTTACCTTAGAGCATTAGGTCATAGGGTAAATACAAGGGACAACAGAGGCTTCCCCAGTTAAGTCTGTTTACCCAACTTCAATTAACTAACCTTTGAGCCAGATGGCCTTCTCTGGGGAGGTCTACCAAGGATATTGCCCCCTAATGGTATTTGTTACACGCGTCCCTGTGAAGAGACCACCAAACAGGCTTTGTGTGAGTAACAAGGCTGTTTATTTCACCTGGGTGCAGGTGGGCTAAGTCTGAAGAGAGTCAGCAAAGGGTGGTGGATTATCATTAGTTCTTAAAGGTTTTGGGATAGGCGGTGGAGTTAGGAGCAATGTTTTGTGGGCAGGGGGTGGATCTCACAAAGTACATTCTCAAGGGTGGGGAGAACTACAAAGAACCTTCTTAAGGGTGGGGAGATTACAAAGAACCTTCTTAAGGGTTGGTGAGATTACAAAGTACATTGATCAGTTAGGGTGGGGCAGAAACAAATCACTGTGGTGGAATGTCATCAGTTAAGGCTATTTTCACTTCTTTTGTGGATCTTCAGTTGCTTCAGGCCATCTGGCTTAGCTTGGGCTGAGAGGCCTGATAGTATTTACCTGAGACCGTGGTACCTGAGTTTTAATCATTCCTAGAACTACTCTCTTAACCATGTTAATTATCCACAAGTGTGTTTACTCAAGTTTACTCAAAGTGTGTTTACTCAAGTTTACTCAAAGCTTCTGTTGTTAATTGTATACTAAATAAATGCCTGGAGTTCGAGCTGCTCAGGGCCGTCCACAGTGACAAACCTCTCTAGGTGTGCAGGCGGCTGGACACTCAGCTGGACTGGCAAAACAGAATATCTGTGTGTCAGTGTACGTTTTATTCATCTGTCGTTTGGGTCAGGGTCTGAGGGCAGACCCCGCGGCTAATGCCTTCACGTGTGAGGAGCAATACCTCAGCTGGTGGCCTGTGTGAGGAAACCCGTGTGAGGAAAGCCCTGTGAGGAAAGCCGTGTGAGGCCAGTCAGGGGTCTGCAGAAACAGACTCCCCGCAGTTGGAGCCCCTCCTGAGGCAAGCTGCCTAGGAAGAGTGAGGACTGCCCTCATGAGGAAAGCTGCGAAGGAAGCGTGAAGGAAAAGCGACGGACCCCCCGGAAAACAAAGGTGAAGAAAGGAACCGCGCGGTCAAGTCAGTGAGTAATCAGCAAGTCATTGGTGCCCACTCAAAGTTACCAAGTTCTGGGGGAAGTTGGGTCAAGCTGAGTTTTCATCATGGGACCACAGTTATTAGCACAGCAGAAACATTATATGAAAGTATTAAAACAGTTACTTAAGGCTAGCGGAGCCTCAGTTTCACAGGCTCAATTAAGGGACCTAATCATCCATGCTAGACAAACTGTTGCAATGCAAACTCTTGTGATCCCAAGCCCGTGGTTCCCGGAAGAAGGAACGCTAGACGTAGAACTCTGGGAACAAATGGGGAGAAATCTTAACATGTGCAAAGGCAACAGGTCCCAGTAACAGCTTTAACGTTATAGGCTTTAATTAGAGCAGCCTTAGCTCTGTTACACGCAGAAGAGCCTAAAAAGAGCAAGGAGGAGAAAATGTCACCTGCCTTATCACCTCCTCTTCCCTCCACCCTAATATCACCGGGCCGAAATAACAGAGGAAACGGGGGTTTATACCTGAGCCTCCTCCTCCAATAGATAGGAAAAAAGACCTAGGATATGCTACAGCTATCAGTCCCTGTCTTAAGCGGGCAGCATTAGAAGCAGAGCTCTTACTCTGCCCAGTAATGCAGAATCGGCAAGGCAATCAGGTGTATGTTTATAAAAAGATAAGAAAAAAGGCATTAGGAGCCGAAAGCCGTGCAGCCGAGCAAGCAGTAAATAAAAAGAAAGGCTCGGCAGCCCGGAAGTTCACAGAAACAGAGCCAGCACAGGCAAAAGGCAGCGCTTTTACAAGAGTAAAACAGCTACCGCCCAGGGACCCGCCGGCTCAGCTCTCTAGCTCTGCAGGTGACCCAAGGCAAGTGCTCCTTGTTTACAAGCGACATCCCAGATTATAATTCTCTGCTAAAATTTAAGTAAAATGTAAGAATTTGAAAAACCTCTTTTCTGATAATGGCCACTGTTGCTCTCTCTCTCCTACCCCTGACGTAGCTCTCCAAATCCAATTTAGGTAAAACAGTAACCTCTGAAGGGAGAGAGATTACAGAAGGCCGATGAATTAGTTAAAGAGTAGTTAAAAGCTAGGCATGTAAAACCACACATTACCCTTTAAAGGAGAACTTTAAACCTAACTAAATCATATTTGTTAAATTAGAAGAAAAGTTGTATGTAAGTGTAGTGAAAGCATATGCATGAATGACTGTCGTAACCCACTGATTAGATAGTCTTTTGATTTCTACTTGCTAAAAGAGTCCTGAATTCAGTTTCCCAACTACTGGGTCACTGTTTTCAAGACTGTTGGCCAGATTAAAGTCCATAAACTTGATCAGCTTGAAAACTCAATTGCAAGATTTAAGCTGTTCTGCCTGTGGCTTTAAGCACATGGTTAAAGTATATTATTTAAGTTTCTGCTTCTAGAGATGCTTTCAGATTTTCTTTTTAAATTTCATGTTACTTATTTCAACTTGCCATCTTAATGATTAATGCAGTCAATTGCTAAGTTATAACCCTGATATCATCAGGATTCCTTTAAGTAAAAGGTAATTCGAAGCGGTATTGCACTTCCCCATACCTAATGCTTTAACACTGTTTACTGATGGGTCTGGTAAACATGGAAAAGCGGCAGTCTAGTAGAGACCACACAATTCCATCACTCAGAGTTTACTAGCACTCAGAGAGCTGAGGTTACTCTGTTTATTTATTAAAGAACTTTTACAGCATGAAGTTAGCTCTGGAGACCACTCTGTGTGCTCTTTTTCTCCGACTTCAGCAATTGCTACACCAACGTACACATCCTGTTTTTATTACACACATTCGAGCCCACAGCTCTCTGCCTGGCCCATTGGCTTATGGCAATGATCAAGCAGCTCTTCAGGTTGTAACATCACTGCTAGACCAAGCCACCCAATTGCATCAATTTTTCTACTAAAATTAGAGAAACTCATCTTAAACAACTTCAACTTATACAGAGATTGGCTAAACAAATTATCTGACGGTGCCCAGATTGCCAGCTCACAGGCACAGCCCCTCTTTCAACAGGTGTTAACCCTAGAGGATTGGAACCTAATCAGTTGTGGCAAACAGATGTTACATCCCTAAATTTGGGAAACTAAGATATATACATGTATCCGTTAATACCAACACTCACCTAATTAGTGCACATTAAAAAGAGAAATAAAGGGAAAGAATGAGTAAGAAAGAGACTAGAAAAGACAGATCAGAGACAGACACAAAAAGACTAAGGAGAGAAAGTAGGAAGAAAGGAAAGAAATATTAAAGTTACAGATATAAGAATGCACCTTTAGTAAGGAAGGTTATAAAACATAGTCAGAAAGTTAAGCCATGTTAAAGATTGTCTGTGAAAGTTGTGAAGAATGTTATGAAAAGGAATTTATGCAGGAAATATATAATTTTTGTTTTGAAGGTCTAAACAAGTTTTAAAACGTTAATTGTAAAAAAAATTCTGTGTGTAAACATATTGGCTAAAATAAAAAAGGTATCATCCAGTTTTTCTGTAAACTAGACATTAAAGTACAACAAGTTTTTCTTAAAACACTAACCTGCTCTTTAAAGACTGTAAAAAGTCTCTCAGCACAGGCACCACCCCTAGAATTTCCAGTACACCAGCACCAGCCTGGAGACTACATTCTTATCAAAGGATGGAAAGAAGAAAAAACTCAAGCCAGCCTGAGAAAAGACATACAGGACCCGCAGCCTCAACAATGTGGCTTCCGAAGACAACACAGGTCCCAGGCATTATGCTAAAGAAGGAAAAGTCTAAGCCAGATAATTTATTCATTTTAAATTCTCTCACTTTACCTACTACCTATACCTGCTACACTCTATTAAGCTCATCCCTTAAATCTGCCTTTTTTCAGTCCTATCATCTAGGCAGACACTCCCTTTCCAGCTTCTAACAATATCTACGTGTCAATGTATGTTTTATTCTTCTGTCATTTGGGTCAGGGTCTGAGGGCAGACCCCTGCAGCTAATGCCCTCAAGTGTGAGGAGCAATACCTCAGAAAACTATCCCAAAACCTACTTTACTCCACCTGTTGCTACTTTTCTGAGGAAAAAGTACTGAGTAATTATGATGAACTGTCACTTAAAAAGTCAAGTTTGGTTGAATTATATACATCTACTTTAGCATTATGCTTATGAATATTAACATCTGAAGCAAAATGCATATATGTTGTTAATTATAATTATAAACATAAAGCATTGTGATGTAAATCTACACTTACGGGAAATGATCATTACAAAGCAAAAAGGCAGGAACCGAAAACCATGGGACTGATAGCAAAACATCCTTTCTGAAAATTAGGGGAATTCTAACTATTTATGTACAGTTAACATTGCACGCAGCCAGACTTCTTTGTAGGATACTAATTTAGAGTAATCACTAAACCCTATTAATGTGCTAATTTTAGTTTATTAAAACAAATTTTCAGTAATCCTTAATAACTCACAGACAATTAGGTTTGGGAGACAACTAGTTTGGGAGGAGGAAGTCAGAGCCAACTAAGAATTCCTGAAAAAATAACAAGAGCAACTCTGTATTTATAATTTAAAATTCTTTGTGAAATTTCCACTGCCTATTTTCTTGAAATTATGTTTTACATATCCGTGTTTCTCCTTACCAGTCTCTCTCGTTAAATCATGGAATTTGAGTGTCTGTTCATTTATTTATTTTTTTTACTTTTCATTGGTGTATTATATTTACTAAGTTAACACATTTTAAATGTACAGTTGAAAGAATTTTTACATACTCCCCGTGTAACTCCTGTGTTAACCATCTATAAGAGAAACACAGATGTGTAAAACGTAATATCAACATACAGAATATATCCAGTAACCCAAAGTCTCCCTATGCCTCCTTCCAATCAACATTTCTTCAAAGGTAGGCAGTATTTTTTTTTTTTTTTTTTTTGAGATGGAGTCTCATTCTGTCGCCCAGGCTGGAGTGCAGTGGCGCTATCTCGGCTCACTGCAAGCTCCACCTCCCGGGTTCACGCCATTCTCCTACCTCAGCCTCCCGAGTAGCTGGGACTACAGGCGCCCAGTAGACAGTATTTTTATCTCTGTCACCATTAGTTTTTTCCTGTTCTGGGTGTCATAATAATGGAATCAGAGAGTATGTTTTCTTCATGTCAGCTTGTCTCACTCAACATTATGTCTCTGAAATTCCTCCATGTGTTGCCACTTTGTAGCAGTGGCTCATTTTTTTCTGTGTAGTATTACTTTGTATGAATATGCCAGAATTTATCAATTCAACTACTGATGAATTTTTTTCATTCCTTTGGTAAATATGAATAGTTACTATGGATATTCTTATAGGTGTTTTTGGTAGACATATGCACTCATGTCTCTTGACTATAGTCCAAGCAATGGAATTGTTGGGTCATAGGATAGGTGTTTGTTTAGCTGCAGTAAATTCTGCTAGTTTTCCAAAGTAATTGGGCGTATTTAGACTCCTACCAGCAATGATGAAAGTTCTGTTTCTCCATACCTTTAGTATTGCCCATACTTTTAATTGTAGTCTATCTGGTGTGTAGGAAGTAGTATGTTATTGTTTTTTTTAAACTAGCTCATTGAGATATAACATATATATATAAAATAAACCGCATATATTTAAAGTATACAAATTGATTTTTTTTTTTTTTTTGAGACGGAGTCTCACACTCTAGCCCAGCCTGGAGTGCAGTGGCGCTTGGCTCACTGCAAGCTCTGCCTCCCGGGTTTATGCCATCCTCCTGCCTCAGCCTCCCGAGTAGCTGGGACTACAGGTGCCTGCCACCACGCCTGGCTAATTTTTTGTATTTTTAATAGAGATGGGGTTTCACCGTGTTAGCCAGGATGGTCTCGATCTCCTGACCTCGTGATCTGCCCGCTTCGGCCTCCCAAAGTGCTGGGATTACAAGCATGAGCCACCGCGCCCGGCCACAAATTGATGTTTTAAAATATGTATACACACCTGAAATGATCACCACCAAAACAATGAACATACCCATTATCTCCAAAAGTTTTCTGTGCCCCTTTGTAATTCCTCCCTTTCTTTAGCCTCACTCCCCCATTCCCAAGCAGCCACTGATATGCTTTCCGTGATGATAGTTTGCATTTTCTAGTTTTAAATAAACAGAATCACATAGTATCTACTCTTTGTTGTCTAGCTTAACTCTGCATAATTATTTTAAGATTCACCCATGTCATTGCATGTATCAAAAGTCCATTTTTTTGCTGAGTACTATTCCATTGTACAGCTGTACTACAATTTGTTATTCCAGTCATCTGTTGATGGACATTTGGTTTGTTTCCATTTTGGGGCTATTACAAATAAAGCTGTTACAAACATTCGTGTCTCAAGTCTTTGTAGGGACATCTATTTTCTTTCTCTTGGGTAAATACCTAGGAGTAGAATGTCTGGATCACATAGTAGGTGTATGTTTAACTTTTTAAGAAACTGTTAAACTGTTTCCCAAAGGTTTTACCATTTTACAATCATATGTGTCTCATATGTAAAACCAGCATATGAGAGTTCAGGTTCCACCATATCCTTGCCAACACATGATACGGTCAGTCTTTTTAATTTAGTCATTCTAATAGGTATGCAATAGTATCTCATTTTGCTTTTAATTTGCATTTCACCAATGACTAATGATGTTGAACATTTTTTTCATGGGCTCATTTGCCATCTACATATGTTACTTGGTAAAATGTTTGTTGAAATATTTTGCCCATAAAAAACATTGTTTTCTTATTACTGAGTTTTAAGAGTTCTTTATATATTCTAGATACAAATTCTTTTTTTTTTTCTTTTTTTTTGAGACAGAGTCTCGCTCTGTCACCCAGGCTGGAGTGCAGTGGCACAATCTCGGCTCCCTGCAACCTCTGCCTCCCCAGTTCAAGCAATTCTCCTGCCTCAGCCTCCCCAGTAGCTGGGATTACAGGTGCCCACCACCATGCCCAGCTAATTTTTGTATTTTTAGTAGAGACAGGGTTTCACCATGTTGGCCAGGCTGGTCTTGAACTCCTGACCTCAGGTGATCCACCCACCACAGCCTCCCAAAGTGCTGGGGTTACAGGCGTGAGCCACCACGCCCAGACTAGATACAAATTCTTTATCAAATATTTGCTTTGTAAATATTTTCTCATAGTCTGTGACCTGTGGGTTGTCTTTCAGTCTCTTAACATTGTCTTTTGAAGAATAGTTTTCAATTTTGATGAAGTCCAATTTATTGATTTGTTTTTATGGGTTGTGCTTTTGGTGCTGTATCTAAGAAATTTTTGCCCAACCCAAGGTCCAAAGATTTTCTACTATGTTTGTTTTAAGAAGTTTTATAGATTTATGTTTCACATTTAGGTTTATGATCCATTTTGGGTTAATTTTTATGTATGGTGAAATGGTGCAATGTATAGACCCAAGTTTTTTTTTTTGCATATGGATATATACACACACATATATATGCATACATGCAAACACACAATTTACATTTAGTAAACAAGAGATAAAACTGTAATCTCAAAAAAAAATTTCTTTCTTGGTGGTGATTTCCATTAAAGACCATCTCCAGATCCACTTCCTCTTCTGTGTCAGGCTATTGGCATGGAACTAAGTCTATCTGATGTGTAGTTGAGCTGTGTTTGACTGTGTTGTGGTTTTAGTTAGTTTCTGTTCACCACTGACTTCAAGTGTTATGGAGTAGAATGAGGGCTTCTCTTCAGCAGAGCCTGGGATCTGAGAATTAACAACATCCTAGAGATCCATCTGTGCTTCCCAGCCATGTCACCTGGGGGAATCTCTTCCTGCTTCACAGCCAAGCTGTCAGGTTATGGGTTACTGGGAGTTTTCTTTGTTTTTCAGTCTAGTCTCCTGTTTGTGTGTGTAGAGGTCTCTTGAAGCCTTGCTGCTCACCCTCTGGCCTTTGGAGGACAGCTTCTCTGCTCTCCATGAAGGTCCAGAATGTTTCAGAGGAGTTTCTTAGCTTTCCTACTAAGTCTTTAGGCTTTGGTAGTTGAATGCCTGCATTGCTTGTGAGGATTCCTGACCTATCTCAACTTTCACAGTTGGACATTAGAGTACGTCTGATGGATTTCTCTCCACTCGTCTTCCCTGTTCCCTTGCCTCCAGAAAGAGCTATGAACTTGCAGAAGACTCCACACACCCCAACAGGGGATCTCTCTTAACTTTTCTTCTCTCCTTCTAACTTTTTACCTACTACTGTTGTATAATGACCCACGGGAAAAAGTGAATGAGTGGATGCAGACTTGCTCTGTGGCTGGGTATCTTTGGGATTTAATCTGTTTCACTAGCCCATTATTATATATTGGTGAAAAACTAGCTAATTTCTCATTATTCCCATCCATGGTTTTTTTTTTTCCCCTAACCTGTTCTTGCTCCAGTGATGAGAGCAGCTGTGGGTCTTATCTTTCCTAGATAAGGGCTACTTTCTGGAGTTTGTGTTTCTTTTCTTTCTAGATTCCTTTGTGTCTTTAGTCCCTTCTTTATTTTCTTTCTCTCTTTCTTTCTTATAGAGGTAAGAGTCTCGCTATCTTGCTCAGGCTGGTCTGGAACTCCAGGCCTCAGCTGCCCTAGTAGCCACCATACCTGGACCTTCAGTTCTCTGAAGCATTTAAAAAAATTATGTCTGGCTTGTTTTGATTTTTAGCATGAGATTGACACCCTTTTGTGATTTTCTATAATAGAATCAGAAGCAGAACTGAGATTTGGTCTTAATAATTTGAGAATTGTACCTTTACAAATAAAACTGTTTATGGTTATATGAGTAACTAACGTTCAGAGAGAAGTGATTGGCCAAGGTATAGAAATGAGGTAGGGGCTATCTTAGTCAACTCAGGGCTGTCATATCAAAATACCACAGACTGGGTGGCTTAAACAACAGAAATTAATTTTCTCACAGTTTTAGAGGCTGGAAGTCTGAGATCGGAACTAGCATCATTAGGTTCTTGTAAGGGCTCTCTTCCTGGCTTTGCAGACTGCCACCTTCTCCCTGTATCTTCCTATGGTGAAGAAAGAGTTCTGAATCTCTTCTTCTTCTTATAAGGGTACCAGTTCTATTAAATCAGAGCTCCACTCTTATGACCTCATTTAACCTTAATCACCTACTTAAAGACTCCATCTCGAATATATTCACATAGGGGGTTAAGACTTTGACGTATGAATTTGGGGGTGTAGTGAAGGGGGACAAAATTCAGTCCATAGCAAGGTCCTAGATGAATTATAATCCAACACTTTTGATTTCTAGTCCCTCCAGGGTGAGGACTTACAGGGCAAATGGGGGGTCAAGGGACTCAGTGTCGTGTTGTAATTTAAAAAGCATAGGCTGTAAAGTCCAAAAAACTTGAGCTTAAATTTTGGCTCTGCACTAAAACTGTAGGAGCTTGTGAAGGGTCTTCAATGAGCCTCAGTTTCCTAGAAGATGTGAGAGTTTGATGGGATTACATATGTAAAGTGCCTATGTGTCTTGATTGTACTTGTAGGATTTTCACTTTTGGAGATGACTGAGCGATTGCAGAGAGAGGCTAATGTCATTGAAAGAAGATTTCATTGTAATTCAGTTATCTAGAGAAGGGTACATGCCATTCCACTCAGGACCACATGTGGAAGCACCTGGGTCAGTTAGAAGGCATAGGAGCAGGAGGAAAGCATGGCTCAAAGACTTTATTGTGATTTCCATGAGAAGGAAGGAGCAAGACAGTAAATAGTTTAAAATTTGCTAGTTTGAATAATTTCCACAGACTCTGGACTATAGGGATGGGCTCTAGTTGTTAGGTACCTGGCCCAGGGGTGATTTAGGATAGGACAAATATTGGCTTGGTGTGTGATAGTTAGATATAGCCACGACCCCCAAAGGTTTGGGGGTGTGGCTTTGGATTTGTTGTGTTGCAAATGAAAGGTGTTTTCCCAGGCAAGTTATTTACTGTGTCTAGGAATTAACTAGCCCTGGAAGGAGCAGTCCCTCCCCTGCCAGTAGGGCTCCTAAGATGTCAAACCAGACATCTTACAGAAACACAGAAAGTCATTATTAATACATTGTCTCAGTTCCTGGCATATTACTACATGCTTCATGAGTGGTGGTCTTTTCCATAATCACTCCTGTCTTTCTCTCATCTCAGCAGCTTCTGGAAGATTTTTTCTCAGTAGTTCTGTCTGGATAACCCAGGCCTTGGTTTTTCCCTGTCATAACTACATCTTGATGGACCATGCCTGGGTAAGGCTGAGAGCCCCATTAAGAGGGAGCCCTTCCAGATTCTGTTAGGGCAGGGGCAGGACTAGAAAATAAGAGTCATCTGGAAGGGGCCAGCTTTGTTGGGGGGGGATTGATATCTCTATTTTCAGGCTAAAAGAGAGGGATTCTCAGTCTGAAGCCCTATGGGTGGTTGATTTGGGGTCACCACGCATCAGCATCCTGGCAACAGAGAAGAAAACTAGAAAATCTATTCCATCTGACTGGGCTGCCCATATTTAGCTACATGCTTCAGCAGCAACTGTGTCCAGGCTGGTGAAAGGGCAGTATTGGCCTCTCCTCAAGGAAGACTGAGGTCAGGCCAGGCGTGGTGGGTCAGGCCAGGCGTGGTGGCTCATGCCTGTAATCCCAGCACTTTGGGAGGCCTAGGTGGGCAGATCACAAGCTCAGGAGTTCGAGACCAGCCTGACCAATATGGTAAAACCCCGTCTCTACTAAAAATACAAAAATTAGCCAGGTGTGGTGGTGGGCACCTGTAGTCCTAGCTACTTGGGAGGCTGAGGCAGGAGAATCGCTTGAACCCAGGAGGCGGAAGTTGCAGTGAGCCAAGATCACGCCATTGCACTCCAGCCTGGGTGACAGAGTGAGACTCTGTCTAAAAAAAAAAAAAAAGACTGAGGTTAGCAACAGTTGCAGTAGTTATAATGAACAGTTCATTTTTCTGAGTTGTCTGGGCTGTCCAGCTTCAGTATGCAGTAAGAGTAAACAAGATTGATACTCTGGACTGAGTAAGCACCACTGGAATCTTTGAACATCAAATAAAAAGGTACTGGTAGAAGAAAAAACATAATTTTCTGTTAACATGGCCAAATGAGGCCTTAATTAATTAAGCACCTCTGAATGGCAAAGCGGGACACAAAGACAGGGCACCATTCAGAATACAGAATTATGAAACCCATGGAAACTGCATAAATATCTTTTCTTTCCAAAGTCATCCTACCATAAAGAGATTATCCATGGCTGAATTCACACCATCAGAGTCCACAGTTCCTGCAAGTGATATGAACTTGGGTCCAGATGCCTCACGGATATTTGCCCAAGCAACCTCTCCAAAATAAAGGTTAAGAAGCTGCACTAATCTCTATGATTCTGGCCAGTTATTCATACACTATGAAACTCAACTTCCTCTTACAGAAGATAAGGATATTAATATCTACTTTGTGGCTTTGTTGAAATCACACCATGATGACTATGGCACATTCACATTTAAACAATAAATAAATGATAGCTTCTCCTCTTCCCATCCCCAGTTTGCTCTCCTTTCTAAACAATAAACAAGTTATTATCTCAAAACCATACAGTTACATGGAAATTAAACAACCTGCTCCTGCATGACTTTTGGGTAAACAATGAAATTAAGGCAGAAATCAATACATTATTTGAAACTAATGAGAACAAAGATACAACATACCAGAAACTCTAGGACACAGCTGAAACAGTGTTCAGAGGAAAGTTTATAGCACTAAACACCCATATAAAAAAGTTAAAAAGATCTCAAATTAACAATCTAACATCCCACCTAGAGGAACTAGAGAAACAAGAGCAAACCAACCCCAAAGCTAGCAGAAGACAAGAAATAACCAAAATCAGAGCTGAACTGAAAAAAAAAATGAGACTCAAAAGCCGTTAAAAAGATCAGCAAATCCAGGCATTTTTTTTCTGAAAGAATCAACAAGATTGATAGACCACTAGCTAGACTAATGAAGAAAAAAAGAAAATATCCAAATAAACAGAATCAGAATGACAAACGGGACATTACTACCAACCTCACAGAAATACAAAAAACCCTCAGAGACTGCTATGAACAGCTCTATGCACACAAACTAGAAAACCTAGGAGAAATGGTTGATAAATTCCTGGAAACACATAAACTAGAGAACCCAGAAGAAAGGTTGATACATTCCTGGAAACATAACCTCCCAAGATTTAACCAGGAAGAAGTTGAATCCCTGAACAGACCAATATTGAGTTCCAAAATTGAACCAGTAATAAAAAGCCTACCAACCAGAAAAGACCCAGGACCAGATGATTCACAGCTGAATTCTACCAGATGCATAAAGAACTGGTACCATTCCTAATGAAACTACTTCAAAAACTTGAGGAGGAGGACACATTCCTAACTCATTGTATGATGACAGCATCATCCTGATACCAAAACTTGGCAGAGACACAACAAAAGAAGAAAACTTCATGCTAATATCCTTGATGAACACAGATGCAAAAATTCTCAACAAAATACTAGCAAACTGAATCCAGCAGCACATCAAAAAGCTAACCCACCATGATCAAGTAGGCTTTATCCCTGGGATGCACGGTTGGTTCAACATACACAAATTAATAAATGTGATACACTATATAAACAGAACTAAAAACCACATGATCATTTCAATAGATGCAGAAAAGGCTTTTGATAAAATTCAACATTTATTCATGTTAAAAATCCTCTAGGCATTGAAAGAACATACCTCCAAATAATAAGAGCTATCTATGATAAACCCATAGCCAAAATCATACTGAATAGGCAAAAGCTAGAAGCATTCCCTTTGAGAACCACAGCAAGCCAAGGATGCCCACTCTCACCACCTCTATTCACATAGTACTGAAAGTCCTAGCCAGAGCAATCAGGCAAGAGAAAGAAATAAAAGGCATCTAAATAGGAAGAGAAGAAGTCAAACTATCTCTGCAGACAATATGATCTATACCTAAAAAACCCCATAGTCTCTACCCAAAAGCTCCTAGATCTGATAACTTCAGCAAAGTTTCAGGATACAAAATCAATGTACAAAAATCAGTAGCCTTTCTATACACAAACAACATCCAAGCAGAGAACCAAATCAAGAACATAACACCATTCACAATAGCCACAAAAAGAATAAAATACATAGGAATACAGCTAACCAGGGAGGTGAAAGAGCTTTATAATGAGAATTACAAAACACTGCTCAAAGAAATCAGAGATGACAAAAATAAATGAAAAAAACATTCCATGCTCATGGATAGGAAGAATCAGTATTGTTAAGATGGTCATACTGCTCAAAGCAATTTACAAATTGAATGTTATTTGTATCAAGCTACCAATAACACTCATCACAGAGTGAGGAAAAAACATTTAAAAATTCATATGGAACCAAAAAGGGGCCTGAATAGCCAAGGCAATCCTAAGCAAAAAGAAGAAACCTAGGAGCCAGGTGTTGTGGTTCATACCTGTAATTCCAGCACTTTGGGAGGCCAAAGTAGGCAGATCATGTGAGCTCAGAAGTTTGAGACCAGCCTGGGCAAAATGGTGGAACTCCATCTCTATAAAAAATACAAAAATCAGCTGGGCATGGTGGCACACACCTGTAGTCTCAGCTACTCAAGAGGCTGAGGTGGGTGGATTGCTTGAACCTGGGAGGTGGAGGTTGCAATGAGCTGAAATTGCGCTATTGCACTTTAGCTTAGGCAACAGAGTGAAACCCTATCTCAAAAAAAAAAAAAAAAAAAAAAAAAAGACAAAGCTGGAGGCATCATGCTACCTGACTTAAAACTAACTACAAGGTTGGCTGGGCGTGGTGGCTCACACCTGTAATCCCAGCACTTTGGGAGGCTGAGGTGGGTGGATCACGTGAGGTCAGGAGTTTGAGACCAACCTGACCAACATGGAGAAACCCTGTCTCTACTAAAAATACAAAAGTTAGCTGGATGTGGTGGCACATGCCTGTAATCCCAGCTACTCAGGATACTGAGGCAGGAGAATTGCTTGAACCCGGGAGGCAGAGGTTGCGATGAGCTGAGATCATGCCATTGCACTCCAGCCTGGGCAACAAGAGCAAAACTCTGTCTTAAAAAAAAAACAACAACAACAACAACTATACTACAAGGCTACAGTAACCAAAACAGCATGGTACTGGTATAAAAACAGACACATAGACCAATGGAACAGAATAGAGAACCCAGAAATAATGTCACACACAACCATCTAATCTTTGACAAACTTGACAAAAACAAACAATGGGGAGAGGACTTCCTATTCAATAAATGGTGCTGAGATAACTGGAGAGCCATATGCAGAATACTGAAACTGTACCCATTTCTTACACTATATACAAAAATAGACTCAAGATGGATTAACGACTTAAATGTAAAACCAAAAACTATAAAAGCCCTGGAAGATAACATAGGAAATAACATTCTGGGCACAGGACCTGACAAAGATTTCATGATGAAGACATCAAAAGCAATTGCAACAAAAACAAACATTAACAAATGGGACCTAACTAAACTAAATAGCTTCTACATAGCAAAATAAACTATCAACAGAGTAAACAGACAACCTACAGCATGAGAGAAAATATTTGCAAGCTACGCATCTGACAAAAGTCTAATATCCAGAGTCTATACAATACTAAAATCTATAAGCAAAAACAACCCCATTAAAAAGTGGGCAAAGAAGGCCGGGCATGGTGGCTCATGCCTGTAATCCCAGCACTTTGGAAGGCTGAGGTGGGCGGATCACAAGGTCAAGAGATCGAGACCATCCTGGCCAACATGGTGAAACCCCATCTCTACTAAAAATACAAAAAATTAGCCAGGTGTGGTGGCGCACACCTGTAGTCCCAGCTACTCAGGAGGCTGAGGCAGGAGAATCTCTTGAACCCAGGAGGCAGAGGTTGCAGTGAATTGAGATTGTGCCTCTGCACTCCAGCCTGGGCAATGGAGCAAGACTCCATCTCAGACACTTTTCAAAAGAAGACATACATGCATCCAACAAGTATATGAAAAAATGTTCATCACCAGTTATTGAAGAAATCCAAATCAAAACCACAATGAGATACTATCTCATACCAGTCAGAATGGCTGTTATTAAAAAAGAAAAAATAACAGATGCTGGTGAGATTGCAGAGAAAAGGATATACTTATACACAGCTGGTGGGAATGTAAATTAGTTCAGCCATTGTGGAAAGCAGTGCCATAATTCCTCAAAGAACTCAAAACAAAATTACCATTCAACCTAGCAATGCAATTATTGGGTATATACTTGATGAGGTTTGGCTGTGTCCCCAGCCAAATATCATCTTGAATTGTAGCTCCCATAATCTCCACCTGTCTTGGGCGGGACCAAGTGGGAGGCAATTGAATCATGGGGGCAGGTTTTTCCCATGCTGTTCTCATGATAGTGAATAAGTCCCATGAGATCTGATGGTTTTATAAAGGACAGCTCCCCTGCACATGCTCTCCTGCCTGCCACCATGTAAGATGTGCCTTTGCTCCTCCTTTGCCTTCTGCCACGATTGTGAGGCCTGCCCAGCCATATGGAACTGTGAGTCCATTAAACCTGTTTCTTTATAAATAACCCAGTCTCAGGTATGTCTTTATTAGCAGCATAATGGACTAATAAGGTAAATTGATACTGGGAGTGGGGCACTGCTGTAAAGATACCCAAAAATGTGAAAGCAACTTTGGAACTGGGTAACAGGCAAAGGTTGGAACAGTTTGGAGTGGGAAAGTTTGGAACTTCCTAGAGACTTGGATGGCTCAGAAAACAGGAAAATGTGGGAAAGTTTGGAACTTCCTAGAGACTTGTTGAATGGCTTTGACCAAAATGCTGATAGTGATATGGAAAATAAAGTTCAGGCTGAGGTGGTCTCAGATGGAGATGATGAAGTTGTTGGGAACTGGAGCAAAGGTGACTCTTGTTATGCTTTAGCAAAGAGACTGGTGACATTTTGCCCCTGCCCTACAGAAGTGTGGAACTTTGAACTTGAGAGAGATGATTTAGAGTATCTGGTGGAAGAAATTCTAAGCAGCAAAGCATTCAAGAGGAAGCAGAGCATAAAAGTTTGAAAATTTGCAGCCTGATGATGCAGTAGAAAAGAAAGACCTATTTTTTGGGGGAGAAATTCAAGCCTGCTGCAGAAATTTGCATAAATAACAAAGAGTTGAAAGTTAATCACCAAGACAAAGGGGAAAATGTCTCCAGGGCATGTCAAAGACCTTTGCGGTAGCCACCTTCTATCATAGATCTGGAGGCCTAGGAGGAAAAAATGGCTTCATGGACTTGGCCAGGCTCCCCTGCTGTGTGCAGCCTAGGGACATGGTGCCCTGAGTCCCAGCTGCTTCAGCTACAGCCATGGCTAAAAAGGGCCAACATAAAACTCAAGCCATTGCTTCAGAGGGTGCAAGCCCCAAGGCTTGGTGGCTGACATGTGGTGTTGGGCCTGTGGGTGCAGAGAAGGCAAGAATTGAGATTTGGGAACCTCCACCTAGATTTCAGAGGATGTATAGAAATGCCTGGGTGTCCAGGCAGAAGTGTGCTGCAGGGGTGGAACCTTCATGGAGAACCTCTGTGAGGGCAGTGCAGAAGGGAAATGTGGGGCTGGAGCCCCCACACAGCGTCCCCACTGGGGCACTCCCTAGTGGAGCTGTGAGAAGAGGGCCATAGTCCTCCAGACCCCAGAATGGTAGATTCACTGGCAGCTTGCATCGTGTGCATGGAAAAGCTGCAGGCACTCAATGCCAGCCTGTGAAAGCAGCAGGGAAGGGAACTATAACTTGTAAAGCCACAGGGGTGGAGCTGCCCAAGGCCATGGGAGCCCACCTCTTGTATCAGTGTGACCTGGATGTGAGACACAGAGTCAAAGGAGATCATTTTGGAGCTTTAAGATTTGACTGCCCCATTGGATTTCAGACTTGCATGGGGCCTATAGCCCCTTCGTTTTAGCCAATTTCTCCCCTTTGGAATGGGTGTATTTACCCAATGCCTGTACCCCCATTGTATCTAGGAAGTAACTGACTTGCCTTTGACTTTACAGGCTCATAGTTGGGAGGGACTTACCTTGTCTCAGAAGAGACTTTGGACTGTGGCTTTTGAGTTAATGCTGAAATGAGTTAAGACTTTGGGGGACTGTTGGGAAGGCATGATTAGTTTTGGAATCTGAGGACATGAGATTTGGGAGGGGCCAGAGGCAGAATGATATGGTTTGGCTGTGTCCCCACCCAAATGCCATCTTGAATTGTAGCTTCCATAATCCCCACATGTCATGGGAGGGACCTGGTGGGAGGTAATTGAATCATGGGGCAGGTTTTTCCCATGCTGTTCTCATGATAGTGAATAAGTCTCATGAGATCTGATGGTTTTATAAAGGGCGGTTCCCCTGCACATGCCTTCTTGCCTGCTGCCATGTAAGACATGCCTTTGCTCCTGCTTCACCTTCCGCCATGATTGTGAGGCCTCCCCAGCCATGTGGAACTGTGAGTCCATTAAATCTCTTTTTCTTTATGAATTACCCAGCCTCAGTATGTCTTTATTAGCAGTATGAGAACAGACTAATACCCAAAGGAATAGAAATCATTCTGCCATAAAGACACATATATGCATATGTTTATTGCAGCAGTATTCACAATAGCAAAGACATGGAATGAACTTATCAATGGTAGACTGGATAAAGAAAATGTGGTACATATACATCATGGAATACTGTGTAGCCACAAAAAAGAATGAGATCATATCCTTTGCAGCAACATGGATGGAGCTGAAGGCCATTATCCTAAGCAAACTAATGCAGGAACAGAAAACCAAATATTTCACATTCTCATTTGTAAGCGGGAGCTAAACAATAAGAACACATGGACACAAAAAGGGTACAATAGATACTGGGGCCTACTTGAGGGTGGAAAGTGGGAGGAGGGAGAAGATAAAAAACTACCTACCAGGCATTATGCTTATTATCTGAATAAATAATTTGGACCCCAAATCCCTGTGACATGCAGTTTTCCTGTATAACAAAACCTACACATGTATCCTTGAACCTAAAATAAAAGTTAAATATATATATATATTTAATATACAGTGTATTTTTATATACTATATTTTAGGTGATATATATTTATATATATGTATCACCTAAAAATACAGCTATTAAAAATTGATCACAGTAATCAAGAGAGTGTGATACTGAAAGAGGGAAAGACAGATCAATGGAACAGAAATACACCCACACAAATACACCCAGTTAATTTTTGATAAGGGAACAAAGGCAATTCAATGTAGGAGGGATAGCCTTTCTCAGCCAATGATGTAGGAGTAAATGGACATTCATTGGAAAAAGAAAAAAGAACTTTAACCTTGACCTCACACCTTAGGCAAAAATTAACTTAAAATGGATCATGATCTCAAATGTAAAATGCAAAACTATAAAATTCTGTGAAAGAACACAGGAGCAAATCCTTGAGACCTAGGACTAAGTAAAGAGTTCCTAGATTTGAGACCAAAATTACAATTCACAAGAGGAAAAATAGATAAATTTTACCTCATTAAAATAAAAAACTTTTGCTCTGCAAAAAAAATTTTTTTAAATCCCTGTTGAAAGGATGAAAAGACAAATTACAGACTGAAAGAAAATATTTGCAAATCACTTATCAGACAAAGGCCTCTTACCTAGAATGTATAAACAACTCTGAAAATTCAACATAAAAAATAAATAATCCCGCTAGAAAATTGGACACTGACACAGAAAGATGCTCACAAACATTTCACCAAGAGGATATATGAGTGGCAAATAAACACGTGAAAAGATGCTCAACATCAATAGCCATTAGAGAAATGCAAATTAAAACTACAATGAAATATTACAGCTAGTCTGAATAATAGCCCAACATATTATTTTCAGGCTGCTATAACAAAACAGCATAGACTGAGTAAATTACAAACAATGGAAATTTTTTTTTACAGTTTTGTAGCCTGGGAAGTCCAATATCAAGGCACCAGCAGATTTGGTGTCTGGTGAGAGTTCATAGATGGCTGCCTTTTCACTGTGTCCTCACATGGCAGAAGGGGCAAATTAGCTCTCTGGGGTCTCTTTTATAAGGGCACTAATCCCATTCATAAAGGCTTTGCCATCATGATCTATCTAATCACCTCCCAAAGGTCCCACCTCCTAATACCATCACCTTGGGAGTAAGGATTTCAGCATATGAATTTGCAGGGGACACAGTCAGACCATACCGCCTGGCAACTCCTGTCATATCTCTGGGATATATGTCATAGATAAGTCATATCTTAAACATATGGAAAAAATGGATTTACCAAACAATCCAGCAGTACATTCTTGGTTGTATATCCCAGAGATATGTAATTTCCGCACAAGAACTTTTACACACATGCTCATAACAGCTTTATTTCTAATGGCCCCAAACTGTAAACTATCCAAATGTCCTTTAATGAATAAATGATTAAACAAACTTTGGTATGTCCATGCGATGGAATACTACTCAGCAAGATAAAATGAACGAACCATTGATTTCATTGAATTGTCTACTTGTATCTTTTTGCATCTCATTGAGTTCCCTTATAATCATTACTTTGAATTCCTTTCCTGGAAATTTATTGATTTCCTATTCATTGGGGTCTGTTAGTAGAAAGTTATGTTCCTTTGGTAGTGTGCCATTTCCTTGTTGTTTCATGCTTCTTTGTTGATGTCTGTGCACCTGGCAGAACAATCACCTCTTCCAAAATTTCTAGAGTGGCTTTCACAGAGAAAGACTTTTACCTGCATTAGGTTTTAGTGGGCCAGTTGGGAGGGGTGTGGTAACTCCGTTTCCAGATAGGTGCAGTGGTATAATCTCCAATCAGCTTCTTCAGCTGCATTCAATGTCAGCAATAACTCTGAATGTCACAGTGGCCTAGGCTATAGAAGTTTGTGGTTGTGGTAGTGGCAGTGGCAGTGGCAGTGGCAGTAGCAGTGGTGTAGGTTGTTAATGTCCTTGCTGTCAAGGGCTTTTGGGGTCCTCCTATTCTCATTTTCACCACAATGGAGACTTAGCCAAGGGGATCCCTCTTGGTGTCAGGACTGATGGCCCTGCAAGCAGCTTCAGTGGCACTGGATTTCAGATGCAGTAGGTCTTGGGCTAGGGTCATAGGCTCAGGTTCTTGCAAACCTATTATGGCACCTGAATCTTGTGGTGCAGGTTTGCTGTCTGTGGCAGGGTTGAATGTAGATTGCCCACAGTGCTAGGATCTGTGACTCTGAGACATCCCCTAGCAGCTTGGGGCCAGGGGGTTGGGGTTGTAGCTGTGATTCTACCCTTGAGGGGCAGGGCACAGCCCTGGCCTGACTCCAAAGAAGGAGTACTCTGGAGTTTGAGCCTAGGCTGTAGGGTCAGCTATAATTCAGGAGCCAGAGTCAATAGGACTTAATAGCAACTTGGGTTCCTAGGGATAAGGCACTATGTAGTGGTGACTGTAGGCCCTGAGATGGTGAGGCTTGGCAGTATCCCAGACTCTGTGACATCAGGTGCAGTGGCAGCAAGTACTTCTGAATGGCTGATTATGGCTGTCATTTGGGCTCTGGGGGGCAGGGAACAGCACAGCAATGACTCCACCTCCCCAGGGAGAGTAGTAACTCAGCAGCTCAGACTCTAGGGGGCTAGTCCAGCTCCAGGAAAGCAGGGTACTAGAGTTGCTTAGTCTGTAGAACTGTAGCGTGGAGTGTCTTAGTTCAGCCACACTGCTTTGCCACCCTGGGATTCAGGGTACTATATCAGCCCAGTCTTGAGATGTTCTACTGCTCAGCTTGTCCAAGGCTCCAATTCTCCAGCAGAGCATGGTGCCATTCCAGCTGGGGTGGAGGGGGGTTGTGACTATCCCTGGGATGCAGGGCTCCACAGCACTGTTCCTGTAGGAAGCAGTGCACAGTTTCAGTTCAGGCCATGGGGCAGGGGCAGCCACAGCTGAAAGAGGTAGACGGAGTTCTGCCAAAGCATTTCCCCAGGAGGGACTACAAAACTTCAGCTCTGGCCCAAAGATTGAGAGGGAAGGGTAAGTGGGGTGATTCCACCTTGACCCCACTGGAGAGTGAGTGCTACGGGCTTCTAATTGGCCGTCTTACTGACATCACTCATCTCTGTATCAAAAAAGAAACAAACTTCTGATATATATATCTTGGAAGAACCTCAAAAAAATTATGCTGAGTAAAAACAGCCAAACTCAAAGGGTATATATTGGATGATTCCATTTACTAACCATTCATGAAATAACATAATAATAGAGATGGAGAACAGAATAGTGGTTGCCATGGGTTAGAATGAGAGAGAGGAGATCGATGTGGCTATAAAGTGATGACATGATAGAGTCTTGTGGGGATGGGACAGTTGAATACCTTGACTGTGGTGGTGGTTATACAAGTTTCTACATGTACTAAAATTGCATAGAGCTACACACACACACACAAGTATATGTATAACTGGTGAAATTTAAATAAGCTCTATAGGGCTGGGTGCAGTGGTTCACGCCTATAATCCCAGCACTTTGGGAGGCTGGGGCAGGATGATCACTTGAGCCCAGGAGTTCAAGACCAGCCTGAGCAACACAGGGAGATCCCATCTTTACAAAAGGTTTTTTAAAAAAAATTAGCCAGGTGGCACATGCCTGTAATCCCAGCTACTTGGGAGGCTGAGGTGGGAGGATCACTGGAGCCTAGGAGGTCAAGGCTGTAGTGAGCTGTGATCACACTACTGCACTTCAGCTTGAGTTACAGATTGAGACCCTGTCTCATAAATAAATAAATAAATAAATAAATAAATAAATAAATAAATAAGCTCTATAGATTGCACCAATATCTATTTCTTGATTTTGAGACTGTACTGTAGTTGTGGAAGATATTGACATTGGGGGATGCTGGAGGAAGACTGAACAGAATTTCTCTGTTATTTCTTGGCTGCCACTGGTGATATAATTACCTCAAAGTAAAAGCTTTTAAACAACTGCTATGAAATTCGCAAATAAAAAATATTATTTATAATAAATAGATTGGCTAGATATAATGAAAAAACTTCTTGAATTTCAAAAAATTTGAAAAAATTTGTTGAACTTTCTTAAAAGTAAAACCTACTTCTTTTTTTCCACCTCTCATTGAGAATCTTTCAACAGAATCATCTTGACAATTAGAGGCTTGGTATGGACAAAACAGGCCAGTGAGAAATATATTTATCTGGTTTCCTAATATTCATACTGAGCTGGATATTCTGTCATTTTAAGAAAAAGAAAAAATAAACCAGGCATGAAAATGTACCACTTATCTTTAATTATTTTTTCTGGGTGTATCACAAGTTACCTGGACCTCAATACTGTTTTGTTTTATGATTGTAAATGGAATATAGATGTTGCAAAATTGTAAACAACAGACTTTTTTTTTTTTTTTTAAATGAAACAGGGTCACACTCTGTTGCCCAGCAGTGGAGTAATCATGGCTAATTACAGCCTTAAACTCCTGGGCTGGAGGAATCTTCCAAGTAGCTGAGACTACAGGTATGTGCCACCACGCCTGGCTAATATTTTCATTTTTTGTAGAGATCGTCTCACTGTGTTGCCTGGGCTAGTTTTGAACTCCTGGCCATGGGTGATCCTCCCACATCAGTCTTCCAAAGTGCAGGGATTACAGGCATAAGCCACCAAGCCCAGGTAAAACCATTTTTAAAAAGAAAGTGAATTCCCTCAGAATCCCACCCCAAAGAAACCACACATATTTTTTGGTAAGTCAGATAATTCAATATATACTATTGAATAATTTGCTTTTTTTCACAGCACAATATTTCATACACAAATTTCTTTGCCAGTGCTCCCCGTTATTGCCATTGTTTGGATGTACTATAGTTTATTTAACCAATTTCCCATTGATGGACATTTGGATCCTTCCAATATTTTTATTACATTTATTTAGTATTTTGAATAGTTTGTCTGTGTTTGCTGTGTATTACCCCAAAAAGTAGCAGTGGTTTAAAATAATAATCATTTATTTCACTTATGATTTGGTGGACTGCAGCTCTTCTGGTCTAGGCCACCCTGGCTGATTGCTGGGTTTTCTCAGATGTCCGTAGTTAGTGGTTGGTTGGCAGCTAGGTGATTTCAGATAGCTTCATTCATACGTCTAACAGTAGGCAGGCTGTTGTCTAGAATCATAGGAGGCAGCTAGTCTCTTATCATCCAGAAGGCTAGCCTAGGTTTATTCACATAGTGGCAGATTTCCAAGAGCAGACTGAGGTCTAGCCCTAATCCACAAACACTTTTCAAGCTTCTGGTTGTGTCATCTTTGCTAATGTTTCATGACCAAAGTGAATGATATGGCCAATCCAGAATTGAGGAGTGAAGAAAACAGACCTTACTTCTTGATGATAGGATCTACAACATTACATTACGAGGGCACAGATGTCAGATTAGGAAGAAATTGTGGCCCTGTGTTCAATCTACCACAAGGAGATGATACAATCACATAGTTTTAGATAGATACAATGTTAGAAATCAATAACCATCATATATACAAACAACAACCAGCTAGGAGAGAAAATAAAATATTTTACTTTCTTTTTTTTAATTTAATTTAATTTAATTTAATTTATTATTATTATACTTTAAGTTTTAGGGTACATGTGCACAATGTGCAGGTTAGTTACATATGTATACATGTGCCATGCTGGTGCGCTGCACCCCAACTCGTCATCTAGCATTAGGTATATCTCCCAATGCTATCCCTCCCCCCTCCCCCCACCCCACAACAGTCCCCAGAGTGTGATGTTCCCCTTCCTGTGTCCATGTGTTCTCATTGTTCAATTCCCACCTATGAGTGAGAATATGCGGTGTTTGGTTTTTTGTTCTTGCAATAGTTTACTGAGAAAGATGATTTCCAATTTCATCCACGTCCCTACAAAGGACATGAACTCATCATTTTTTATGGCTGCATAGTATTCCATGGTGTATATGTGCCACATTTTCTTAATCCAGTCTATCATTGTTGGACATTTGGGTTGGTTCCAAGTCTTTGCTATTGTGAATAATGCTGCAATAAACATACGTGTGCATGTGTCTTTATAGCAGCATGATTTATAGTCTCTTGGGTATATACCCAGTAATGGGATGGCTGGGTCAAATGGTATTTCTAGTTCTAGATCCCTGAGGAATTGCCACACTGACTTCCACAATGGTTGAACTAGTTTACAGTCCCACCAACAGTGTAAAAGTGTTCCTATTTCTCCACATCCTCTCCAGCACCTGTTGTTTCCTGACTTTTTAATGATTGCCATTCTAACTGGTGTGAGATGGTATCTCATTGTGGTTTTGATTTGCATTTCTCTGACGGCCAGTGATGGTGAGCATTTTTTCATGTGTTTTTTGGCTGCATAAATGTCTTCTTTCGAGAAGTGTCTGTTCATGTCCTTCACCCACTTTTTGATGGGGTTGTTTGTTTTTTTCTTGTAAATTTGTTTGAGTTCATTGTAGATTCTGGATATTAGCCCTTTGTCAGATGAGTAGGTTGCAAAAATTTTCTTCCACTTTGTAGGTTGCCTGTTCACTCTGATGGTAGTTTCTTTTCCTGTGCAGAAGCTCTTTAGTTTAATTAGATCCCATTTGTCAATTTTGGCTTTTGTTGCCATTGCTTTTGGTGTTTTAGACATGAAGTCCTTGCCCATGCCTATGTCCTGAATGGTAATGCCCAGGTTTTCTTCTAGGGTTTTTATGGTTTTAGGTCTAACGGTTAAGTCTTTAATCCATCTTGAATTGATTTTTGTATAAGGTGTAAGGAAGGGATCCAGTTTCAGCTTTCTACATATGGCTAGCCAGTTTTCCCAGCACCATTTATTAAATAGGGAATCCTTTCCCCATTGCTTGTTTTTCTCAGGTTTGTCAAAGATCACATAGTTGTAGATATGCGGCATTATTTCTGAGGGCTCTGTTCTGTTCCATTGATCTATATCTCTGTTTTGGTACCAGTACCATGCTGTTTTGGTTACTGTAGCCTTGTAGAATAGTTTGAAGTCAGGTAGTGTGAGGCCTCCAGCTTTGTTCTTTTGGCTTAGGATTGACTTGGCGATGCGGGCTCTTTTTTGGTTCCATATGAACTTTAAAGTAGTTTTTTCCAATTCTGTGAAGAAAGTCATTGGTAGCTTGATGGGGATGGCATTGAATCTGTAAATTACCTTGGGCAGTATGGCCATTTTCACGGTATTGATTCTTCCACCCATGAGCATGGGATGTTCTTCCATTTGTTTGTATCCTCTTTTATTTCCTTGAGCAGTGGTTTGTAGTTCTCCTTGAAGAGGTCCTTCACGTCCCTTGTAAGTTGGATTCCTAGGTATTTTATTCTCTTTGAAGCAATTGTGAATGGGAGTTCACTCATGATTTGGCTCTCTGTTTGTCTGTTGTTAGTGTATAAGAATGCTTGTGATTTTTGTACATTGATTTTGTATCCTGAGACTTTGCTGAAGTTGCTTATCAGCTTAAGGAGATTTTGGGCTGAGACAATGGGGTTTTCTAGATATACAATCATGTCGTCTGCAAACAGGGACAATTTGACTTCCTCTTTTCCTAATTGAATACCCTTTATTTCCTTCTCCTGCCTAATTGCCCTGGCCAGAACTTCCAATACTATGTTGAAAATATTTTACTTTCAATAGCAATAAAATAATTTTTTAAAAATCCAGAAATAAATCTAATAAAAGACACATAAGATCTATATGAAAGAAAAAAGGTGTTAAGGAACATAAAACTTGAACAAATGGAAAAGTCTATTATATTCTTGATTAAGGAAGACTGATATAAAAATATCAGTTCTCTCAAAGTTGGCCTACAAATCTAAATAGATCCTAATGAAAATATCAAGAAGATTGGTTTTATTTTTTGAAAGTAGATAAATTCTAAAGTTTATACAGAAAAATGAATATGGTGATTTTAAAATGTCTAAAAATTCCTTAGGAAGTACAGTTTAATTCCCTTCTCCCTAAAGTGTGACTAGCTTACTTCTAATGAATATGATAAAGTGACAGTGTGCCATTTCTGACATTAAATCATAAAAATTATGTGTCCTTCTCCTTGCTTTCTCTCTCTTGGATCATTTGTGCAGGGAGAAGTCAGTTGTAATGTCAGAATATTCAAAAAGCTCTATGGAGAGGTCCATGTAGTGAGTTACTGAGTGAGGAACAACAAGTGAGGAACAGAAGCCTCTTGCTAAAACTAACTTGGAAGTAGATCCTCCAGCACCAGTCAAGTCTTTGGATGACTCCATCCCCAGCTGATATCTTTTCTACAATCTAATGAGACACCCTGAGCCAAAACTACCCTGGAAAGTGACTCCTAAACTCCTGACATACAAAAATGATGAGAAAATAAATGTTTATTATTTAAGCGATTACATTTGGAGGGAAAATTGTTATACAGCAATAAATAACTAATATAATGAATAAGCAATAATAGACATAAACCTTAAAGGCAAGAATAATAAAGGGGGATTAACCCGATTATATAGTAAAACATATTCTAAAGCTATAATAATTAAAACAATGTGGTAATTGCATATGAATAAATATAGATATCAAAGGAGTAGAATAGGAGGTTGATAAATATGTACATATCCACTGAAAAAAGTTAGTGTATGAAAATGGCAAAATTTCAAATCAATAGGGCAAAATAAGGATTATTCAATAAATGGCATTGTAGGAAATGAAGAGCTAGCTGAAAAAATAAATTATATCCATACTTCACATATTATACGAAAATGAATTATGGATAGATCAAATATTTAAATAGTAAACATAAAAAAGGATTTTAAAAATTATGGGAAAATTTTAAAAAGAAAACCTCTGAGTGGAAATATAGAAGCCTTAAGAGATTAGTAAGTTTACTTACACACACACACATTCTCCATGGCTCAAACATTGTGGACAAAGATAAATGACAAACTGGGAAAATCTTTGCTGCTTGTATCAAATATAAGGTAACTGATCATCTGAATTTATAAAGGAGAGAATATAAATTGATAAGAAAAAGACCAACAACCCTATGAAAAAAATGAGTAACAGACAACTGACACAGAAAAGGAAATACACATGGCTTTTAAATAAATAAAAAGATACTTAATAACCCTCGTAATATAAGAAATGTGAATTAAAACTACAAACTGATGCTACTTTTGATCTAATTAGTTGGCAAAAATCAAAATGCTTGACAAAATCCTATGTTGGTAAGGGTAAGGGGAAACACTCTCATATCTTGCTAGTGGGAAAATGAACTGGTACAATCTCTTCAAGATCATTTTGGCAATTTTGTTATCTGTCAAAACTACAAATTTACTCAGCCAATCCATTTCTAGGATTATGTCTCATAAATATATATAGTCACACGTGTAAAATGACATGTATAAAGTTATTCTCCTTGGCATTATTTATCATAGCAAAACACTGGGAAAAACTTAAATACATTGAAGAGGAAACATTAAATAAATCATGTCACACACATAAAATGAGATAATATGGAGTCATAAATAAGATCAAGGAAGTTAATTATATACAGATACAGCATGTCTGCAGGATACATTTAAACATTAAAAAGCAAGGTGCAGATGCTTAACACTGTGGGAGGCAAAATAGTTTACTGACTTTCAGCAAGTCACTAAACAAATGGAAAATCAAAGAGTAATAACAAACCCTGGAGGAGGTAGGAGATCAGTACCCAGAGTTTGTACATTATTTGACATGTCCAGTTTGGAATACTGGCAAGTATATTACACAGCACAAAGGAGGTGGATGGGAGCAAAGTTGTATTGAGTTAAGGAAATAATTACAGATAGAAACGTAGGGGAAGAGGGGAATAGAGCTATATAGGATTAACATTTTTATACACCACTGAAATTAAGCAATTATAAATCAGAAGCTGATTCTGATAAGTCAAGGTATATAAGGTATAGCCTAGATCAACTACTAAAAAAACTTTTTAAAATAGAGAAAAATAATTAAGAAAATTAAAATGTTTCATTAAAAATATTCACCAAAGGCAAAAGAAAGCAGTAATGAAGAAATAGCAAAATAAAGATATGAGACATAGAAAATGAAAAGCAAAATGGCAATGTAATCCAACTATATCAATAACAACACTAAATGTGAATGAATAAAAAAATTAGTAACAATTCTTCACAAACTCTCCAAAGTACAGAAGACAAGGAAATAGTTCCCAATAGGTCTTATAAGGCCAATATTACCCTGATACCAAAACCAGACAAAGACATTACAAGAAAAGAAAGGCACAGACCAATAATTCTTACAAAGATGGATGCAAAAGCCTTCAAAAAATACAAGCAAACTGAATGCAGCAACATATAAAAAGAACTATAGACCATGACCTGGTAGGATTCATCCCAGGAAGGCAAGGTTGGTTTAACATCTGAACGTCAATCTATGTAATATAACACATCAATAGAATAAAAAGGAAAAATCACATGATTATCTGAACAGATGCAGCAAAAACATCTGAGAAAACATCCAGCCTCCTTTCATGATGAAAATACTCAACAAACTAGAAATTGAAGAGAACATCTTCAACCTGATAAATGACATCCATAAAAACCCACAGAAAACATCATACTTCATGGTAAAAAACTAGATGCTTTTCTCCTAAGATTAGGAACAAAACGAGGATGTCCACTCTCGCCATTTCTATCCAACACTGTATTGGAGGCCCTAACCAGGCCAATTAGGCAAGAGAAAAAAACAAGAGGCTTCCAGATTAGAAAGAAAGTTAAACTATCTCTATTCACAGATGACATGATTTTGTATGTAGAGAATCCTAGGGAATCCACTAAAACCTCTTATAAACTATGAAACAAGTACAGCAAGGTTGCAGAATACAATGTCAATATATAACTTTCAATTCTATTTCTAGATACTTGCAATAAAAAACTCAAAAGTGAATATAAGAAAACAATTCCTTTTACAATAGCATAAGAAAGAATGAAATACTTAGGAATAAATGTAACAAAAACTGCAAAACTTATACTCTGAAAACTGTAAACCATTGTTGAAAGAAGTTGAAGAAGATCTAAATAACTGTAAAAACATCACATGTTCATGGATCAAAAGACTTACCATTGTTAAGATAGCAACACTCTCCAAACTGACCTACAGATTCAATCAAATCTCCATCAGCATCCCAGTTAACTTCTTTGCAAAACTGACAAGCTGATTTTAAAATTGATAAGGAATTGCAAGGTGCCCACAATCTTGAAAAAGAACAAAGTAGGAAGACCCACATTCCCTGATTTCAAAATTTACACAAGGCAACAGTATTCAAGACAGTGTGGTACTGGCCAGGATGGCTAGAATTAAAAAGAGGATAAATAAGGAACACTGGCAAGGGTGTGGAAAAACTGGAACCCTCATACACACCTGGCCGATATAGAATGGTGCAGTTATTTTGAAAAATAGTCTGGCAGTTTCTTAAGAAGTTAAACATAGAGTTACCCTATGATCCAGAAATTCTACTCCTAGGTTTCAATTCAAGAGAGAAATGAAAACACACATCATGCAAAAAACTCATATACAAATGTTCACAGCAGCATTATTCATAATAGCTAAAAAATCAACTCAAATGTTCATTGTTTGATGAATGCATTTAAACAATATTTCTTAAACCTTTTTAAAAAGTAAGCTAGACACAGTGGTGTGTGCCCGTAATCCTAACTCCTCAGGAGGCTGAGGTTGGAGGATTGCCTGAGCCCAGACGTTCAAAACCAGCCTGGGGAAAGTAGTAAGACTCCCTACCTCAGAAAAATGGTCTCACTTGTTCTTTCAAAATTATTTTCATTTCTGTGATGGTTTTCCTTCTTTTATTTCCTCCTTCAGTCTGTCATTTAGTATTTTATTTCCTTTGATTATCTGACCATCTATATTGTATTCTTGCATTGTGTTCTTTCACAAAATCAACAATTGCTTCATTGTCTATTGATTTCAATTCATGGTAAAACGTTTGGCAGCCCCGAATGTTTGCAGGGCCTGGGGCAAGAGTAAAACAGAAACCCCAACAGCCATTTGTCTAAATTTAAAAGGTATAAGTCAAGTTTTGGAACTATTGAATAAAATACATTCTGCTGTCTTATTTTGACCAAAATACCTTTAAAACAACATAAAAATATGCAGAGATGATCTTTATATGATTGAAATGCAGTCAATATAAAAGAGAACTAAATTTAATTATTACTGCACATGTCTAGGTGTTCTGTTCATGGATAAGCAATAAAAGAAACAAATAAATAAAAGAAACAAATATATTTTATAAATTATATTTATTCCATGAATTTTATGTCTTCATTTTAACACAATCACAATATCAACAAATGTCATACTATTTTCAATTAATTTCTGTTCCATTGAAGGTAATAATCTAAAGGATTACAAAAGAAACATTTTATTCAAAGTGTCCCAAATTTCCACAAAGGGGTACACTTTGAACACAAAGAGAAGCAATAAAATCAGTGAGGCACTTAGTGGAAAACAATACTTTATTATGCAAAAATTTTTTGCTTTCGTGTTGAGAGGAAAAATATGACAGATTAATTTGTCATTTCTGTTTCCTGAAACTTCTGACACTCCAATCCTCACTGATCTGTGCAGCAGTGTCAGTAGCAGTCAACCCATAAATCTGAATAATAGTTGGGCAGAGTTACCTATTGTTTTAAAGATATTGGGCAAAGGATTTGGAGAAGCATTTCCCTGGCGTTATTCACAAAAAGTTTAGATTAGTTGTGCTGTGCTGACACGGAGCATTAAATCCAAAAGTGACAGAGCTGCCTATGTGTTCTTTAATAAATGTGTGTGCTTGTGATATATGGGTCCCTCTGAAGTGTGGAACCCAGAGCAGAGGCCTCTTTTTTCTGAGTCGATGAGTGATATGTATTTGGTACTTTTCATCTTCTCTATACCATGTTTTTCTGGTTAATTTTGTCTCATGCCATGTTTGACTGCTCTTTCTCACATCTTTTTTCTCTAGTATCCTTATCTACCACTGCAAAGGCAAATACTTCAGATCATATATCCTCGTTGGCTCTTTCCGGGAGCTGCTACGATCCGTCCCCAGCCCACTATGCCAACAGTCCATTCACACCACCTAACACTACTTAACTATTTTTACATTTGAGGATCTTCATCTGTATCCAGTTTTGCTTGGTGTTATGGGTTGAATCGTGTTCCCATGTAAGTAAAAAATATGTTGAAGTCCTAACTCCTAGTACCTCAGAATGTGACCTCATCTGGAATTAGGGTCATTGCAGGTGTAACTGGTTAATATGCGGTCATATTGGAGTAGAGTAGGCTCCTGATCCAATCTTAATGGTATCCTTATAAGAAGACAGGCACGGGAGGTCAGAGACACACATGGAGAATGCCATGTTATGACTAAGGCAGAGACTGGAGTTATGCAACTGCAAACCAAGGCACACCAAAAATTGCCAGTAAACCACCAAAAGCTGGGAAGAGGCAAGGAAGGACATCTCTGCAGTTTCAAGAGGAAGCATAGCCCTGTTTACACCTTGATTTTGAACTTCTAGGTCCCAGAACTGAAGAGACAATGAGTATCTATTGTTTTGTGGTACTTTGTTATGACAGCACTAGGAAACTAATACACGGTGTGTTTTACCCATTTCTTGTTGCTCTGGTTCATTTCTAAAAGAGATGAAACTTTGGATCTAAGATGTCATCAAGTTCATAGTGTCAACGATTCTCCACATTTGCAGTAGAGTTATGAGATTAGAATTGTCTACATGATTGCCCTAAAAGGAATGGGTTTCTATTCCATCTACTAACCCACAAAAGATCCTTAATAAATAAATATATGTGAGAAGTATTTTCATATATGGAGGCAACTAAACTTCTCCATAGCATAAGTGTGACTGCAATTTGGAAGACGTTTGAATTATTATGAGATCATTTGTTCCTTGCAAAGTTTTTGCCTTCTTAGAAACAGAGGCTCCCTGTAAGTAAACATAACCAAGTTGTGGTAAAAGTCCATGATGTCCTCCCAGTCCCATATGGGGACATAGGCTTATGATGTCAGAAAAACATGAAATTCTGTTTTCCACTGAGGACTCTGGAGGCCTCAACATAGTCACTATTCCATACCTTTCTACACTCCCACTACTCTCCACAAATAGTAGTTCACTGGAGGGTGAATATTTTGTAAAAATGTGTAGTTCTTGGGGTTTCAACTTTCTTTTGTTTTTGAGACAGAGTCTCGCTCTGTCTCCCAGGCTGGAGTGTAGTGGCGCGATCTTGGCTCACTGCAAGCTCCACCTCCCAGGTTCACACCATTCTCCTGCCTCAGCCTCCCAAGTAGCTGGGACCACAGGTGCCCGCTGCCACACCTGGCTAATTTTTTGCATTTTTTAGTAGAGATAGGGTTTCACCGTGTTAGCCAGGATGGTCTCAATCTCCTGACCTGGTGATCCACCTGCCTCAGCCTCCCAAAGTGCTGGGATTACAGGCGCGAGCCAATGCGCCCAGCTGGGGTTTCAACTTTCCACCAGGAAAGGTAAGAAGTGGAAGATGGCCTTTCAAGTGTGGTTTGACCATTCTGAATCTATCATCATGACACTTGGCTTGTGCAAATCCCAAACATCCATTGATTAATAATAACATTCTCTGACAGCTACTTTCCCATTTCTCTCCTCTTCTTTACCTGTTTATTATTTTTAAAAAATTAGATAGAGTCTTGCTATATTGCCCAGGCAGGACTTGAACTCCTAGGCTCAAGCAATCCTTCTGCCTCAGCCTCCTGAGTAGCATGGATTACAGGTGCATGCCACCATGTCCAGCTTCTCTGCTCTTCCTTAGAACAATACTCTTATTACTATTATTATTGTGGTTAAAAAAACACACAATGTTGTATTTACCATCTTTGTATTGGGCCATTCTTGCATTACTATACAGAAATACCGGGCTGGGCATGGTGGCTCACGCCTATAATCCCAGCACTTTGGGAGGCCAAGGTGGGTGGATCACGAGGTCAGGAGATCGAGACCATCCTGGCTAACACAATGAAACCCCGTCTCTACTAAGAATACCAAAAAAATTAGCTGGGCGTGGTGGCGGGCGCCTGTGGTCCCAGCTACTTTGGGAGGCTGAGGCAGGAGAATAGTGTGAACCCAGGAGGCGGAACTTACAGTGAGCTGAGATTGTGCCACTGCACTCCAGCCTGGGTGACAGTGCGAGACTCCATCTCAGGAAAAAAAAAAAAAAAAAAAAAAAAAAAGAAAGAAATACCTGAGACTGGGTAATTTATAAAGAAAAGAGGTTTAATTGGCTCACAGTTTGCAGGCTGTATAAGCATGGTGCTGACATCATCTGGCTTCTGGGGAGGCCTCAGGGAACTTTTATTCATGGTGGAAGGCAAAGTGGGAGCTTGCATGTCATGCGGTGAAAGCAGGGGCAAGATTGTGGGGAGAGGTGCCACACACTTTTAAATGACCAGATCTTGTATTAACTCAGATCAAGAGCTCACTTATCACCAAGGGGATGGCCTAAGTCATTCATGAGGGATCTGCCCCCATGACCCAAACACATCCCACCAAGGCCACCTTGAAGATTGGGGATTATATTTCAACATGAGATTTGAGTGGGGACAAATGTCCAAACTATATCATTCCATCTCTGCATCCCCCTTCTCATGTCCTCCTAATATTGCATAATACGATTATGCTTTCCCAATAGTCTCTTAAAGTCTTAACTTGTTCCAGCATTACCTCAAAAGTCCAAAATCTCAAATAAGACAAGCCAAGTCTTGTCCACCTATGAGCCAGCTTGTAAAATCAAACAAGTTATTTAGTTTCAAGATACAATGGGAGGACCAGCATTGGGTAATCATTTCCATCTCAAAAGGGAGAAATCGGCCAAAAGAAAGGGGCTACAGGCCCCATGGAAGTTAGAAACCCTGCATTAATTCTTAAAGCTTTGAAATAATCTCCTTTGACTTCATGTCCCATATCCAGGGCACACTGATATGAGGGTTGGGCTCCCAAAGCCTTGAGCAGCTCTGCCCCTGTGACTTTGTGGGTTCTGCCCCACAGCTGATCTCACAGGCTGTTGAGTGCATGCAGCTTTTCCAGGCACAGGGTGCAAGCTGCCAGTGGATCTACCACTCTGGGTTCTTGAGGACAGTGGTCCCCTCCACTAGGCAGTGCCTCAGTGAGGACTCTGTGTGTGGGCTCCAACTACACATTTCCCCTCAGCACTGCCCTAGCAGAGGTTCTTTTTGAGGGCTCTGCCCCTGTAGCAGGCTTCTGCCTGGGCACCCAGGCTTTTTCATATATCCTCTGAAATACAGATGAAGGCTGGCACACCTCATTCACTCTTTCACCCTACAGGCTTAACACCATGTGGAAGGCACCAAGGCTTACAGTGGCTTTCACTCTCCAGAATGGTGGCATGAGCAGTATCTGGGGTCTTTTGAGCCAAGGCTTGAGCCAGAGTGGCCAGAATGTAGGGAACAGTGTCCTAAGGCTGTGCAGGGCAATGGGGCCCTGGACCTGGCCCATGAAACCATTCTTCCCTCCTAGGCCTCTGGGCCTGTGATGGAGGTGCTGCCATGAAGGTCTCTGAAATGGCTTTGAGGTCTTTTTCCCACTCTCTTTGATATCAGCACTTGGCTCCCTTTTAGTTATGCAAATATCTCTAGCAAGATATTGCTCCACAGCCTGCTTCAATTTCTCTCTCGAAAAACCTTTTACTCTCTTTGCCACATAGCTAGGCTGCAAAATTTCCAAATATTCTCTTATCTTCCTATCTTCTTCTCTGCCCTCCAAACTCTTCCAGCGTCTGCCTGTTACCCAGCTCCAAAGTCAGTTCCACATTTTCAGGCATCTTTATAGCAATGCTCCACTCCTCAGCACCAATTTTCTATATTAGGCCATTCTTGCATTGCTATAAAGAAATATCCAAGACTGGGTAATTTATAAAGAGGTTTCACTGGCCCATGGTTGTGCAGGCCATACAAGCATGGCATCAACATTGCTCATCTTCTGGGGAGGCCTCAGGGAGCTTTTACTCGTGGTAGAAGGTGAAGTGGGAGCTTGCACATCACATGTTGAAAGCAAGAGCAAGAGAGAGAGAGAGAGGTGGGAGAGGTGCCACATACTTTTAAATGGCCAGATCTCATGCAAACTCAGAGCAAGTGCTCACTTATCACCAGGGGGATGGCCCGAGTCATTCATAGGGGATCCACCTGATAATCCAAACACCTCCCACCAGGCCCCACCTCCAACATTTCAACATGAGATTTGGTTACAGACAAATAACCAAACTATAGGCCAGGTGCAGTGGGTCATGCCTGCAATCCCAGCACTTTGGGAAGCCAAGGTGGGTGGATCATGAGGTCAAGAGATCGAGACCATCCTGGACAACATGGTGAAACCCTGTCTCTACTAAAAATACAAAAATTAGCTGGGCATGGTGGTGCACACCTGTAGTCCCAGCTACTTGGGAGGCTGAGGCAGAAGAATCACTTGAACCCGGGAGGCAGAAGTTGCAGTGAGCTGAGATCATGCCATTGCCCTCCAGCCTGGTGACACAGTGAGACTCCATCTCAAATAAAATAAAATAAAATAAAATAAAATAACCAAACTACAGCAATCTTAATCATTTTTTACTTAAAAATGATTACATTTCAGTAGTGTTAAATATATTCACATTATTGTGCAACAGATATCTAGGATGCTTTCATCTTGCAAAACTGAAACTTTATACCCCCAAACACTAATTCCTCTTCCCCCAACCTCCAGCCCTTAAAAACTACCTTTCTGCACTCTGTTTCTATAATTTCTGACCACTCTAAATACACCATATGAGTGGAATCATATAGTATTTGTCCTTTTATGAATGGTTTATTTCACTCAACATCATGTCCTTGAGGATCATTCATGTTGTAGCATATGACAGAATTCCTTAAGGCTGCATAGTATTCCATTGTATAAATATACCACACTTTCCTTATCCATTCATCTGTTGATGGACATTTGGGTTGCTTGCACCTCTTGGCTATTATGAATAATGCCACAATAAACATAAGTGTGCAAGTATCATTTAGAGACCTTGCTTTCAATTATTCTGCATGTATACCCAGAAATGAGATTGCTAGATCACATGGTTTTTCTATTTTTAATTTTTTGAGGAACCGCCATATGGTTTTCCACAGTGGCTGTGCCATTTTACATGACCACCACCAATACACAAGTGTTCCAACTTCTCCATATCCTCTCCGACATGTGTTATTTTCTGTTTTTTTGACAGTGGCCATACTGGTAGGTGTGAGATAATATCTCATTGTGGTCTTGATTTCCATTTCTTTAATGATTGGTGATGCTGGGCATTGTCCTGTGCATTTATTGGCCATTCACATATCTCTGGAAAAATGTCTATTTTGATCCTTTGCCCATTTTTAACTTAAGTTTTTGTTGTTGAGTTGTA
Source organism: Homo sapiens (assembly GCF_000001405.40). Taxonomy (NCBI): domain Eukaryota; kingdom Metazoa; phylum Chordata; class Mammalia; order Primates; family Hominidae; genus Homo; species Homo sapiens. Next base: position 69,296,411 of record NC_000012.12, on the reverse strand, counting down.
GAAGTTCCTTATATGTTCTGGATATTAACCCCTTATCAGGTACATAATTTGCAGTTATTTTCTCCCATTCTATAGGTTTTCTTTTCACTGTTTCCTTTAGTGTGCTAAAGCACTTAAGTGTAATGTAGTCCCATTATCAATTACTGCTTTTCTTGCCTAGTGTTTTTGGTGTCATATCCAAAATATCATCGCCAAATCCAATGTCCTGAAGCCTTCCTCCCATATCTTCTCCAGGAGTTTTATAGTTTTAAGGCTTAGAGTTAGGTCTTTGATCCATCCTTTTTAACTTAATTTTTGTGGGGTAGGGTAAGGATTCAATGTCAAGCTTTTGCATCCAGTTATCCCAACACCCTTTACTAAAGAGACACCTTTCCCTATTGTGTGGTCTAGGAATACTGCCAAAGTTTATTTGACCATACATACAAAAGCTTATTTCTGGGCTCTCCATTCTGTTCCATTGGTCTATATAGCTACTTTTATGCCATTATCACATCATCTTAATTGCAGTTTTTTTTGTGGTATGTTTTGAAATCAGTAAGTGTGAGGCCTCCTACTCTGTCCTTTTTCAAGATTGTTTTGACTATTTGGCATCCCTGGAGGTTCCATAAGCAATTTAGAATTTTTTTCTCTTTTCTCTAAAGAATGCATTGGGATTTTCATAGATATTGCATAGAATCTTAGATTACTTTGGGTAGTATGAATATTTTAACAATATTAAGGCTTCCAAGCCATGAACATGGGATGTCTTACATTTATCTGTGTCTTCTTTGATTTCTTTTAGCAATGCTTTGTAGTTTTCAGTGTACAAGTCTTTCATGTCCTAAGTGTTTTGCCCTTTCTTATGTTATAGTATATAGTATGCGTTTTTGTAATTTCCTTTTCTGGTCAATGTTAGTGCATAAAAACACAAATGATTTTTATGTGTTGACTTTGTATTCTGCAATTTTTTTGAAAGTGTTTATTGTAATTTTTGTGGAATCTTTAGAATTTTCTAAATATGAGATCATATTGTTAGCAAATAGAGATAATTTTACTTCTTTTCCAGTTTGGATGTCTTATACTTCTTTTTCTTGCCAAGTAGTTCTTGCCAGACTTCCCATGTTAAATATTAGTGGTGAGAGTGCAAATCCTTGCTTTATTCTTAATCTTAGAGGAAAAGCTTTCAGTCTTTCTCCATTGAATGTGATGCTAGTATGGGCTTGTCTTATATGACCTTTATTATATTGAGGTAAGTTCCTTATATACCTATTTTGTTGCGTCTATATTCATCAGCAATATCAGTCCATTATTGGTCCATAGGTTTTTCTTTTTCTTTCTTTTTTTGTGTTTGTGTGTTTTGTTTTGTTTTGTTTTTGAGAGAGTATCTCATTCCTGTTGCCCAGGCTGCAGTGCAGTGGCACAATCTCAGCTCAGCACACTGCAGCCTCGACTTCTCGGGCTCAGGTGATTCTCCCACCTCAACCTCCTGAGTAGCTCCAAATGCACATCACACCTGGCTGATTTTTTTTTGTTTTAGTAGAGACGGAGTTTCACCATGTTGCCCAGTCTGGTCTTAAACTCCTGGGCTGAAGAGACCCACCTGCTTTGGTCTCCCAAAGTGCTAGAATTACAGATGTGAGCCACCATGCCCAGTCTCTTGTGTTTTATTCTGGTTTTGTTATCAGCTTACTGCTGCCCTCAAAGACTCAGTTTGGGATTGTTCCCTCCTCTTCAATTCTTTGGAAGAGTTTGAAAAGAATTGGTATTAGTTCTTTAAATGTTTGGTGGAATTTTTTTGTGAAACCATCAGGTCCTGGGCTTTTCTTCACTGGGAAGGTTTTGATTACTGCTTCAATTTATTTACTCATATTATGTTTATTCATATTCTTTATTTCTTCATGATTCAGTCTTTGTAGGTGGTATTCCTCTAGGAATTTATCCATTTCTTTTACATGATCCAATTTGTTGGCATAGTTGTTCACAACAGTCTCATAATCCTTATTTCTGTGACAATGGTTATAATGTCCTCTCATTCATTTCTTTTTTTTTCTATTTTTTATTATACTTTAAGTTCTAGGGTACATGTGCACAACATGCAGGTTACATATGTATACATGTGCCATGTTGGTGTGCTGCACCTTTTAACTCGTCATTTACATTAGGTATATCTTCTAATGCTATCCCTCCCCCCTCCTCCCACCCCACAACAGGCCCCAGTGTGTGATGTTCCCCTTCCTGTGTCCAAGTGTTCTCATTGTTCAAGTCCCACCTACCTATGAGTGAGAACATGCGGTATTTGGTTTTTTGTCCTTGCGACAGTTTGCCGAGAATGATGATTTCCAGCTTCTCATTTGTTTCTAAAGTTTTTTATTTTACTTCTTTTTTAGAGATAGGGTTTCGCTATGTTGCCCAGGCTGGTCTTGAACTCCTAGGCTCAAGCAATCCTCCCACCTTGGCCTCCCAAAGTGCTAGGATTACTGGTATGAGCCACTGCACCTGGCTTTCTAATTTTACTTATTTCAGTCTTCTCTCTTATTTTCTCAGTTGGTCTAGCTAAGGGTTAGACAATTTCATTGATCTTTTCAACAAAAACAACTTTTGGTTTCCTTGATGTTTCTCTATGGTATTTCTATTCTCTAATTCATTTACCTATGCTCTAATCCTTCTGATAACTTAGGGTTTAGTTTGTTGTTCTTTTCTAGTTCTTTGAGATATGAGATTAGGTTGTTGATTTGAGATCTTTCTTCTTTTTTAATGTAGGTGTTTACCACTATAAACCTCTCCCTCACTTCTACTTTCACTGCATTCCATAAGTGTGATATGTTGCATTTTTGCTTTCATTAGTTTCCAGATATTATCTAAATTCACTTGTGTTTTCTTCTCTGACCCATTCATTAAGAGGGCACTGCTTAGTTCCCACAAATTCGTGGACTTTCTTGTTTTCCTTCTGCTATTGATTTCTTGTTTTATTTCATTGTGATTGGAGAAGATACTTTGTATGATTTCAATCTCCTTATATTTGTTAAGATTTGTTTTACAGCCTAACATGTGGTCTATCTTGGAGAAGCCTCCACGAGTACTTAAGAATGTGTATTCTGCTGTTGTTGAGTGGACATCAGTTACAGCCAACTGATCTATACTGTGTTCATGTCTTCTGTTTCCTTGTCGATCTTCTGTATGGTTGTTCTGGCCATAAATGAAAGAGAAGTATTATGTCTCCTGCTATTATTGTGTTGTTGTTAATTTCTTCTTTCAGTCCTGTCAATGCTTCACCTATTTGGGAGTTCTAACATTAGATGTGCATATATTTATAGTTGTCTTATGTTCCTGATGAATGGACCCCTTATCATTACATAACATCCTTTTTTGTTCTCCTGAGTTTCTACTTAAAGACTATCTAGACTACCTTGTCTAATATTACATATGGCCACCCCCGCTTTTAGCTTCCCATTTACATGGAACTGTTTTCCATCCCTTCACGTTTAGACTTTGTGTGTCCCTAAGTCTAAGGTAAGTCTTTTGTAAAAAGCATACAGTTGGATCTTGTTTTGTTTTTTTTTAAATCCACTCAGCCAATCTGTCTTTTAATTAGTGTTCATCACATCTACCTTTAAAGTAATTGCTGATAGGAAAGAACTCACTATTGCCATTTTGTTGTTTTCTGTATGTCACGTAGCTTTTTTGTCTCTACTTTCTTCCACTGCTGTCTTTTTTGTTTTGTTGTGTTTTTTGTTTTTTGTTTGTTTGTTTTTTTTTGTAGTGACATGCTTTGATTCCCTTCTCATTTCCCTTTGTGTATATTTTGTAGGTATTTTCTCTGTGGTTACCACTGCAATTACATAAAACACCTAAACATTGTAACATCCTATTTGAAACAGCTAACAACTTCATTCATGTATAAAAACTCTACTCCTTTACATCTCTGCCCCCCTCCACTTTGTAATTAACACAATTTTCTCTTTTTATAATGAGTATCCATTACTCAGATATATAATTACTTTTTACACTTCTGTTTTTTGTATTCAAAACTGGTACCTGGGCATGGTGGTGCACACCTGTAGCCCCAACTACTCAGAGGGTAAGGCAGGAGGATTACTTGAGCCCAAAAGTTCAAGACCAGCTTGGGCAACAAAGCTAGACCCCAACTTTAAAAATAAATAAATAAATTCAATGCTAGAATTAAATGTAATTTACACACCTACATTACAATATTATAGGACTGTATATATTTCTATGCATTTACCTTATCAGGAACTTCTATACTTTGAATGTATCATCCCATTCCCTTCTAGTCTGCAAGGTTTCTGCTGAGAAACATGCTAATAATTGATTAGGAGCCCTCTTGTACATGATGAGTGCTTTTCTCTTGCTGCTTTCATGACTCTGTTTTTGATAGTTTATTATAATGTGTCTTTGTGTGGTCTCTTGAGATTTATCTTTGCTGGCATTTTCTTAGTTTCTTTTATATGTCAATTTCTCTCATATCTAGGAAATTTTTTGCTGTTATTTCTTCTAATAGGTCTGTGCCTTTTTCTCTATTTTTCTTCTGAAACTCCCATAATGTTGTTCTGTTTGATGGTGTCCCATAAGCCCCTTAGGCTCCCTTTATATTTTTTCATTCTCCTGTGCCTCAGCAATTTTGAAAGTCCTGTCTTTGAGTTCACTATTTCTTCGGCCTTTCCAAGTCTGTTCAATCCCTCTAGAGATTTTTTTTTTTTTTTATCAATTCAGTTATTGTATTCTTCAGTTGCAGAATTTGTTTGGTACTTCTTTACAGTTTCTCTTTGATGATATTCTCAATCTGTTTATGCATGATTTTCTTGGTTTTGTTTAGCTATCTATGCTCTATTTTAATTAAGCATTCTTATAATGGTATTTGTTAATTCTCTGGCACCTCATTTACCTCCATTTATTTCAAGTTGGTTTCTGGAAATTTAATTGGTTTCTTAAATGTGCCATGTTTCCATTTCTTTGTTATGTCTCATTAATTTTTGTTGGGATTTTAGTATTGAAGAATCAGCCATCTCACCCAGATTTTCTGATCTTGTTTTCTATATCAAAGACTTTCTCCATTCAGCCTGGCTAGAGATTCTGGAGGCTTCTTAAGCCTTTTCTGGGAATGCATCCTCTTTAGGCTTGTGTGTGAATTCTACTTGAAGAGGTTTGCAGGGTTTCTAATCAGAAGTTCCCCTGCAATACTGTGGCGTCTTGGGTGCTATAGCAAGTCATGGTACTGGAGCTTCGCCTAGTGTCTGTCTGTGGTACTGCAGACTCCGGAGCAGTGTGTTCCCAGAGCTTACAGCTGGTGCCCCCTTGCTGTGCTCAGATTCAGGCAAAAATACAGAAAGCGGTCCCTCAGCCAGGTCCCTAAAACTTAGAATGTTGGATATATGTTCTAGTCTTTTTCCTCTGCAGATAGAAGTTTGAAGGTTTCCTCCCAATTGCTCCACGCTGTGCAGGGGTTGGGGGCTGGGAGGCTCTGGCAAGCGACAGGTAGTTGAATTTTCCTACCTGGCTTTGATGCCGTTGATTTTAGTCTCACTTGTGGTAAAGCAACCTGTAACCGGTTTCTGGATTTCTCACAGAGGGATTTGGTCTATCATTGTTAAATTCATTTATCCATGACAGAAGAAGGGTCTTGGTCTTCCTGTTCCATCGCCTTGCTGACATACTACAGTACTCTTCTAAAGACCATTTCTGGGATGGGCACAGTGGCTCACACCTGTAATCCTCACACTTTGGGAGGCCAAGGCAGGAGGATAACTTGAGTCCAGGAGTTCAAGACCAGCCTGGGCAACATAGTAAGGACCTCATCTCTACAAAAAGTTTTAAAAAATTGTCAGGCTTGGTGGTGAATGCTTTTAGTCCCAGCCACTTGGGAGGCTGAGGTGGGAGGACTGCTTGAGCCCAGGAGGTTGAGGCTGCAATGAGCCATAATCACATCACTACACTCCAGCCTGGGTGATAGGGCAAGACCCAATCTCCACAAACAAACAAAAAAACTGTTTTCACTATCTCCCTTCTTATTCCCTCCTCAGTTCACTCAAATCACCCTTTTGTCCTCACCACTCCATTCAAACCATACTGCTCAGCCACTACTGAACTTAATTGTCAAATGAAATGGTCAATTCAGTCTTCATCTTAGTCAATCCTTCAGTAGTATGCCAGACACTTAATGTTTCTCCCTCTTTTATGAAACTTTGCTTCAAGGCCCCCCCATGCAAATTTAATTTTTTTTTCTCCTCTCTCAGCTCTCTTACCTCACAGGTTGTCCCCTCAGTCTTATTGAGTCACGCTAATTTTGTCTATCTTAAATATAGAAGAACCCCGGGGTTCAGCCTGCTGACCTTTTAACTATCATTCTCTCAGTGAGCTCATCCGGTCCCACTGCTTTAAATACTATTTATATACCCATACTTCCCACACTTTTTTTTTTTTGAGATGGAGTCTCACTCTGTCTCCCAGGCTGGAGTGCAGTGGCACGATCTCGGCTCACTGCAACCTCCACCTCCTGGGTTCACGCCATTCTCCTGCCTCAGCCTCCCGAGTAGCTGGGATTACAGGTGCCTACCACCATGCCCAGCTAATTCTTTTGTATTTTTAGTAGAGACAGGGTTTCACCGTGTTAGCCAGGATGGTCTCGATCTCCTGACCTCATGATCCGCTTGCCTCGGCCTCCCAAAGTGCTGGATTACAGGCTTGGGCCACCACGCCCGGCCCTATACTTCCCACAATTCTATCTCTAGCCCTGACACTGACCTTGAATTCCCAATATGTATATTCAAATCACTACTTGGTGTGTCCACTTGGTGGTCTGTTTTCTCAAACTCAACATATCCAGCATGAAATTTTTGATACCTACCCCCTCAAAAGTTTCCACCCCATTCCCCAGTCTTCTTTCATTATTAGATGACTTATTTTTTCCTTCTTCATTTTCTTAGGTCAAAAACTTTGGAGATGTTCTTTATTTCTTTTTCTCATATTCACCTATACAGCAACAGACGAAGTTAGCTTTACCTTAAAAATAAACTCGGAATCTTTGTTTCCACTGCTATTACCCTAATCTAAGAAACTATACTTTTTTCTCTTACCCATATTAAAGCCTTTGCTTTAATTCCAATTGGTCCACCTGCTTCTGGAATTGTTCCCTAACAGCTTATTTTTCAAATAGTAACCAGTGATAAAATGTAGGATTATACCTTATCTGCTCATATGCTTCCAAATTTTGTCATACCATGAAAAAACCTGAAATCTTTACCATTCCCAATAAAGCCCTACAAAATCATGTCCCCAAATATCTTCTTGAACCCATTTCTGACCATTCTTCTCTTCCCTCACTCTACCAGCCTTTTGCTGCCTCAATTAGGGCACTTGCACTATTACTTCTGCGAGAATGTTTTCTCTGGCTGGGCATCATGGCTCACACCTGTGATCCCAGCACTTTGGAAGGCCGAGGTTGGTGGATCACCTGAGGTCAAGAGTTCGAGACAAGCCTGGCCAACATGATGAAACTCCATCTCTACTAAAAATACAAAAAAATTAGCCAGCATGGTGGTGGGCACCTGTAATCCTAGCTACTCAGGAGGCTGAGGCAGAAGAATCGCTTGAACCCGGGAGGTGGAGGCTGCAGTAAGCCGAGGTCGCGCCATTGCACTCCAGCCTGGGCAACAAGAGCGAAACTCCATCTTAAAAAAAAAAAAAAAGAATGGTTTTCTCCCTGATAGCCACATGACTATCACTCCCTCTCTATATTTTCAGCTCTGTTCAAACCACACTTCATAAGGATCTTCCTTGACAAACATATATAGTAATACCTTGCTTTATACTGGTTAATAATTTTTAACACAAACTGATATATTTGATCATTGTCTGCCTTTCCTCACTACAAATAATCTTCAAGAGATGAGGGATGTTACATTCATGGCTATATTCATTTTGGCACCTGGATGTGCAACCAGAATATTTGTTAAATGAATCCTACCTGAAGAGAGATACTAACTATATCTTATCTGATTTAGATCCCATAATGACCTCACATAAACTCTTCTTCCAAGAAATAAGACATCCTGAATACTGCAGCACCACCTCTTTTTGGCTAACCCTGAAAAGTGCATATATGTGAAAGCCCAAAAAATGAAATTCCTGAGCTACGTCTTTTCTAAGTTATCTCTATAAGATTCAACAAGATCTCAGACATAGCAGATTGGGAGCCCTACAGATCGAGCAAAATTGCTGGGTACAGTGGCACGCACCTGTGGTCCCAGCTACTCAGGAGTCTGAGGCAGGAGGATCACTTGATCCTAGGAGTTCAAGTCTAGCCTGGGCAACATAGTAAGACCTGTCTCTAAAAAGATTAAAATATCCACTGCTTCATGCAAATATTAGCTAATCTTCAGGTGGAGTTTTTAGTTTGACCCTAGCACAGTGCCTGACATCTAATGGGCAACTCGGTAATTCTGAATGAATGAATACACAGAACCCAATAGTACTTAAGGTTTCTCAAATGTTGGAAGACACTATTCATCACCAAAATCCTGGCTTCCCCAACCCATCTTGGCAAGCTGTCATGTAATGGTAGTTGCTTTCAACAATGCTAAGGTTTAATCTGTCCTGGAATGACTCTGGTTCTCGTAATCTCTACCTTGGCCAATTTCTCCAGGAAGCAGGCTCCAATTGAGGTCATCATTCTGAGATCTGAGAGCTGTTAGGACTCTGAAAAGTATTTGAAAAAAATGAGATACCACACCACCATAAGGGCAGAAATGGTTTGGCACAGGTAGATTACCACCAGGTGCAAACGTGTCAGGAAGATATACAGGCTCACCAGAGTGGCCCCAAGTTGCGTGAAATTCTACAGCAGTCTGCTTCATAAGGGAGGATGACTGTTAAGTCCCCATTCGGGTACATTACTTGTACTAATCACTGTGTCCCAACCAAGACAACAAATAGAGAAATTTTTGTGTGGCATCAACTGCAACTCAATGTTTCAAACTGTTTACCTTGTTGTGGACCTAGAGATACCATTATTGGTAACTGAAGTCCTCCCAGCCCCCAGTCCAGTACTTGGTACACTGGTGACCAGGCCCTTGGCTTCCTCCACCTAGTGCTGTAAGAAGACTAATTTTATGGCTATCTGGAGAGAAAGTGGTGTTAAGCCTTACAATCTCCTTTGATATTATTTGAAGGAAAATATATCAAAGCAATAATAGTTTCAAAATATGCTTTTTCAACCTACATCTTCCTCTCTTTCATGTTGAGATTCTCTGATAGGGCAGAAGACTCTTTATAACATTAACTATTTGTTACTTCCATGCCCTCATTGGACTATTATCTCCCATTTCAAGTAAAATGTACTAAAACAAAATTTCAGATAATATAAATAGAAAATTTTAAAGTAGAATTTGACATGTTTTTGGAAAAACACCTAAGTATTATTTTAAATATTTATTACTATCACCTTCTAGGTATGATGGTCACTTAAACGATCTAGAATTCAGCTAGACTTATACAATAGTAAGCATATTTCTATTATTTTATTGATTATAAAATACATCATACTTGTGTATTAAAATATATACCGTCCAAAAAGTAAAAACGCTTGGATGCCAGCAATTCTGGTTGGTTATGGCACATTAGATGCCGTGTGAGACTTCCTCCTTGATTACATCCCTCTACTTTCTTGCCCCTAGAAAACTATGCTGAATTTTATTAATGATTTCTTACGTTGCTTTTCTAATGTCTCTAAATGTTAGAATCTCTAATATAAATGGAATACTGTGTGAATTCGTCTGTGACTTGCTTATTCCAGTAAAGATGTTAAGTTTTTTATTTTTATTTTTATTTTTGAGATGGAGTTTCGCTCTGTTGCCCAGGCTGGGGTGCAGTGGTGTGAGCTCGGCTCACTGCAACCTCCGCTTCCTGGGTTCAAGCAATTCTCTGCCTCAGCCTCCCGAGTAGCTGGGATTATGGGCGCCTGCCACCATGCCCGGCTAATTTTTGTATTTTTAGTAGAGACGAGGTTTCATCATCTTGGCCAGGATGGTCTTGAACTCCTGACCTTGTGATCCATCACACCCTGCCAATGTTAAGATCTTTTTATGTTCATGTAACTAGTTCTTACATTTGCAGGCTCCATACTATTTTATTGCATGAATGTCCTACTATTTATCTATTCTATTGGTGGCTATTTGAGATGTTTCCAGTTTTCTATTACAAATGATGTTGCTATAAACATTCTTGTAAATGTCTCCTAGTGTAAAGATATGAGTTTCTCCTGGGGATATATGCACATTTACTTTACCAAGTAATGTTAAACTAGATTCCAAAATTGTCGTATGAATTTATACCCCTTCCAGCAGTATTTTCACTTGCACCGTATACTAGCCAATACTCAAATTACATTTTGAACTTTTTTGCCAATATTGTAGGTAAAAAATGGCACCTGTGATCTTAATATGCACTTTCCAGAATAAAATTAAATTTTATTTCATATATTTATAAACTTTCTTCTGTGAAATGTCAGTTCATGTCTGTTGCCCTTTTTTTTAATTTTCTTTGGGGCAGATCTGTTTATTACTAACATGGTGCACTGTAGTTTTAGCAAATTTAATTGTTTTAGTTTCTCAGTGACAATAATACAGATGGTCAAAAATAGGCAACAAAATCTCTTTTCTAGTTCCTCTACCTGGTCACCATTTTAAAAACACAAGTTCTTCATATATACAGATATATTTATATATTACTGTACGAAAACGCATTTTAACAGACTTCACAGCTCATTTAAAGCTCATTTAAAGTTTATAATCATTCATGTGAAAGATTCCTACATGGAATGTTCACTTAGAATTCCTCATTGGGATTCCAGTGTTCTAGGTTAGAAATGCAAAAGTCCTTCTTCAGTGCAATGCTAGACATTTTCCCTTTGTTCATCATTTACTTTCATTCAAGGGTTTCCTAACCTCACTTTTGTACCTTCGTTTTTGTTTGCTTGACTAATTTCCTTTAGTGTATTTTCAGGTAAGGCAGGTTGATATCTGTACAAATAATCATATAGACGACGATGATAAATGAGGTATCCTAACTCACGCATAGTTGTAGAATCAACGTAGTGAAAAGAAACTGCAAGATCAGAACAAGAACCAGGACCCTCTACAGGAGGATAACAGTTGTAATTCCAGTGCCAAAAGGTTCTGGGTAGATAACCTTTAATTAAATGTTCTGGCATAAAGGGATGAAAAGTTTCTTTTCCAGTGGTATCTCTGGAATCTCCTGCTTCCACATTTATAATTTCCATGCATCTCCCCAGTGCTGTCTTCAATGGAGGAACTAAATGTACACTTGTCTGTTTCAAATGCATCAACAAATCTCTTCAAGGCTTCTTTGCTTAGCACATATTCTGCTCCTCCACTCAATGTAGCCCTGCTTTACATATAGGGTTTTAGTTTTCTCCCAAAGTAAATGGGTTCTTCAGGGTAATATTTTGAAAGAAGCCATCTCAAATTGTCTACTATGACATACGTGTCATCATCTGCTTTCAAAAGCCAATCAGCATCTTCTAAATAATGTTCATGAACATACTGAAAAGCTTTGTTTTCCAGTATAGCTGATCTCTGCCTTCTTTGGTTTTCAATCCCACAGTAGGGAAGTCTTTATTTTCTTTTGAACTCATAACACTTTGTGACAATGCTGGGCCCATGTAACTTTGATAAGTTTGGCCTTTTTCTCTAGGTTTTAAGGGCTTGTCATAACCCAGCAAAGAATTTTAACTTTCTGATAGAGGTTTTCAGCGATGTCGGTGTTCTCATCTTTATGTTGGCTAGAATCAGCATTGAAGTTCATTTGTCCTTCTAGATGATTGTGCCATTATCATCTGAATGCCTCGCATGAGGATCATTATGAAGAATATTAGGCTGGGTGTCACCCTATTCTCCCAAAATACTAAATAGCTGAGAACGTTAAAAAAAAAAAAACAACAAAAAATCCTATTGCCGATCCACAGAGGAAGGCTAAAAAATTCAGCCAGGATTTAGAGGCCATTTCCCGGAAGTCTATTTCTCACATCAACCGCGGCTCCCTCTCGCTCCTCCTGGGGGCGAAGAGGAAGACGACACGGGATCGAGGACCTCTGGTTCTCTGGGCAGCCGCACAAGTGGCTCCTGGCCAAGAGCCGAAACCGCCCGCTGCAGCTCAAATGATTCAGCGGCAGCGGCGGCGGCCCGAGTTGACCATTTTTCTATTGGGTTTCTATTGTTCTCATATATGTATGGTTTATTATCTATTCTTGATAAAAGTCCTTTTGTCAATTATCTGTGTTTCAATATCTTCTCCTAGTCTGGGACTTTTCGTTTCACTCTTTTAATAATCAGGAGTTCTTAATTTTATTCAAATTTATCAATCTTTCCCTTTATAATTTGTCCTTTTATGTCTTAAGAACTCCTTCTCCAATCCAAGGTCATACAATTATTTCCTATAATTTATTCTTAAGAGTCTGGCTTTGCCTCTTACATTAAGTCCACATTTAATCCACCTAGAATTGATATTTATGTATGAGATTCCCATTCTATCATAAATCTAGTTTTCATATGTGGTTTCTAGTCTCTGTATATTGTTCTATGGTCTATTCCTGCATCAAGTCTGTATTATCTTACTTACAATACGGCTTAGTATCTGGTAAGGCAAGTCTCACTCCACCTCCCTCTTGGTTATCATTTGTTTTTGAGCTTCCATATAAAATTTAGAACCAGATAGTCATATTCAGTAACAAACTTCTTGGGATATTATTCTGATTTGCATTGATGCTATAGATTTGGGAGGAGCTGTCATATTTAATGATACTGATTCCTCCTACCCGACAACAGGAATATTGATGTCAACGATGCCAGTCTGTAGAACACACTTTCAGGAGCAAACAGATGTCCATTGATTTGGGTCTATCTTAATGTCTTTCAGTAAAGGTTTAAAACTTTCTACAAAGAGCACTTTGCACACCTTTTATTAAATTTAAAACTAGCTCCATTATATCTGGCTTCTAAACTGACTTTGTATTCATTGATCTTGCTAAATTTTTTAAGCCTATTAATGTATCTGTAGATTCTTTCACAATATACATATCACCTCATATCTTCAAATAATGACCTCTAAGAGTCAGTTCTACTGTCACATTCTCTGGGTTGGCTTTTCTGACTCCTAACGTGGATCACTGCTCTGCTACTGAATCTTACAAAATACCTTACCTCACCTGTAAACAAGGAATCCCAATAGGACTGTTTTTAACACTTACATGAAATAACATATGGAAAAGCACATATTAGTCTCTTTAGTTCCTTTCTTCTGGACAGCCAATTGTTTTTTCTTTGTATGCTCAAGGTATTTTGCACATTGCAATCACTTTGAGTTACTCACTGAATGGAAATTATTTTATTTCCTGGCTCCTAAAAAAACAGAAGTAATATTCACTGTCTTTGTATCTCCTTCCTGAATACCACATACATAGACATTCAAATGCTACATATATATATTATATATATAATATATATAATATGTAATATATCATATAATATGTAATATATTATATATAATATGTAATATATTATATATAATATGTAATATATTATATATAATATGTAATATATTATATATATAAATGTAATATATTTTATATATAATATGTAATATATTATATATAATATGTAATATATTATATATAATATGTAATATATTATATATAATATGTAATATATTATATATAATATGTAATATATTATATATAATATGTAATATATTATATATAATATGTAATATATTATATATAATATGTAATATATTATATATATAATATATATAATATGTAATATATATATTATATATATATTTATATATATAGCCTATAATAGGCTTTCACCTAGGGCTAAAAACAAAAACAAAAAGCAGCATTACATAGCTAAGTAAAATTAAGACCACTTTCTTACACCTACCATGAGAATTCTATTCAGAATGTTAGGATACTATAAATTTCCTTAAAAAAAAAAAAAAAAAAGTAAATGTATTCTCAGGCCAGGTGCAGTGGCTCACGCCTGCAATCCCAGCACTTTTGGGAGGCCGAGGAGGGTGGATCACTTGAGCCCAGGATCTGAGACCAGCCTGGGCAACATGGCAAAATCCGCCTCTACAAAAAATACAAAAATCAGCTGGGTGTGGTGGTGCACATCTGTAGTCCCCGCTATGCGGGAGGCTTGAGCCCAGGAGGTTGAGGCTATGATGAACCATGATCATGCCACTGCACGCCAGCCTGGGTGACAGAGTGAGACCCTACATAAAAATAAAAGTATTATCTAAGGATTCTCTAAGGTAACAATCTAAATACTAAATAACTTCCTTTTAAATGACTCTCATTGTGTGCACTAAGTAAACTTAGAAACATTTTCAGTATAAGAATGGAAATAAAAAGGGTTTGATTTGATTAGCTAACTCCACCATAATAGAATATATTAGGTTAATTCTGGTTTGATAGATTAGAAAAGGATCTTTCAGATCTTTCTTGGTTCCTAAATCAGATCTTCAGTTCCTGGGTCTGCCCTTTACTGGTTGTATTACTGAACTGTTTCCTCAATTATTAAAATGGAAATACCAAATCATGATTTACCGATTCATTTCTTATGTACGCCTATCTCTAGATGGAAGCACACAACTAACATTTAAATATATTTAAGCCACTCTAACAATCACGAAATAGTTAAAAATAAGATACCCATTTCCACCACTAAGATAGATTTTTAAAAGCACTAATTACTGAAAAGAATGTGGAGAAATACACATTTTCACATACAGCTTGGGTAAAAGTAAATCGGGACAATTTAATGTGTCAAAAACTCAAATATTCATACTCTGAATCAAGCACTCCAAGAAATTCATTACTGGAAAACAGATATTTGCACTAAGATTTACCTATAAGGAAATTCATTGCAGCATCCTTTATAATACTCAAAAACCTAGTGAAATAACCTGAACACCCAGTGGCAAGAACTGGTTAAAATTATGTTACAAGTTGAAACACCAGGTAGCCATTAAAAGTAGTTTAAAGGCACAATTTGTCAATCTTTAATGTGCATACAAATCACTGGGGATCTTGCTCAAATGTACATTTTGATTTCGCATGGTACATTCTGCACTTGTGACCAGTTCCCAGACCAGGTGATGCCAATGTTGATACCCTGTAGACCATACTTTCAGGAGCAAACTTAGAGCATTTAAGAAAATGTCAATATTCTAAAAGCCCTCAGTTGGCCCCACATAACCTAACTATACATTCTCTCTATAAAACTGACTTAGTCACACAAAATACATCATATCCAAGAACTCATGCTACTAGTAATGTTTAGAGTCAGCTGTTTATTTCTAAACTATGTCAATGGTAATTTTGCTTGTGATTTCATCTCAGTATTATGTAAACCAATGAAACATTTGAGTGCAAAAGAGAATTGGTTCAATGAAAACTAAGTTTACTTTGGTTTTTCTTTTTGAGACAGGGTCTCACTGAGTGTCTGTCGCACAACCTGGGGTGCAGTGGGACAATCTTCACTTGCTGCAGCCTCGACCTACCACGCTCAGGCGAGACTCCCGCATCATTCTCCTGAGTAGCTGGGACCACAAGCCTGTGCCACCACATCCAGCTAATTTTTGTATTTTTGTAGAGATGGGGTTTCACCATACTACCCAGGCTAGAACTCCTGAGCTCAAGCGACCCACCCGCCTTGGCCTCCCAAAGTGCTGGGATTACAGACATGAGCCACTATGCCCGGCAAGTTAAGTACTTTGTAAAGTCTCCATAAAAATGAGCTGCTTTAAAAATTGCCATTAACAATGAAATAACCACTTGTCCCCATTAGGATGACTACTATCAGATAAAAAGAAAAGCATAAGTATTGTTGAGGATGTACAGAAACTACAATCTTCATGCACTGCTGGTGAGAACGTAAAATGGTATAGTAGCTGTGGGAAAGTTTCATGATTCCCCAAAAAGTTAAACATAGAATTACCATTACCCAGCAATTTCACTCCTATATACCCAGAACTGAAAACAGGGACTTACAGATAGTTGTACACCTATGTTCATAGTAGCATTATTCACAATATTCAAAAGGTAGAAACAAGCTGTCCACTGACAGATGGATAAACATGTGGCATATATGTACATAAAATGGGATGATATTCAGCCACATATTGACACATGCTACAACATGGATGAATCTTAAAAACATACCAAGTGAAATAGCCAGGCGCAGTGGCTCACACCTGTAATCCCAGCACTTTGGGAGGCCGAGGCGGGCGGATCATGAGGTCAGGACATTGAGACCATCCTGGCTAACACGGTGAAACCCCATCTCTACTAAAAATATAAAAAATTAGCCTGGTGTGGTGGCGGGCACCTGTAGTCCCAGCTACTCGGGAGGCTGAGGCAGGAGAATGGCATGAATCCGGGAGGCGGAGCTTGCAGTGAGCCGAGATTGCACCACTGCACTCCAGCCTGGGCGACACAGCGAGACTCCGTCTCAAAAAAACAAAAAACATACTAAGTGAAATAAACCAGAGCCAAAACACAAATATTGTATGATTCTGTTTATATGATGTAGCCAGAATAGGCAAATTCAGAGACAGAAGTACAAGAGAGATGATCGGGGACTGGGGCTAGGGTGGGAATGGGGAGTTTGTTTGGGATGATGGAAAAGTTCTGGAAATGGATAGTGGTGATGGTTGCAAAACACTGTGAATGTATTTAATGCCACTGAATTGTATGCTTAAAAATTGTTAGAATGTCAACTTCTATATGCTTTACAATTTTAAACATGCTGACGCAGCTCTTAAAATAGTTGCTAACAAGACAGTGAGGCAGAACTACAATTCAAGATCCTTCATTCAAATATTAACATTTGCTTGCCACAAGCTGATGTAGACACTTGGGATTTAACAGAAACTACAATAAGATCCTTGCTTTCATGGGACTTTATATTTGAACGAACAAGCAAAATACATAGTGCTAGGTCATAAATGCATGGGAAGAGTAAAGAATAAAGCAATTAAGGGAGGTAGCAGTTTCCATTCAATAGAATGGTAAAAACAAACCTCACTGAGATTCTTCTCAGGCAGCTATCTCCAGCATTCCAGGCAGGGGAAATGGCCCACACAACGGCTCAGACACATGACGATACCTAACCTGTTTGAAAAACAAGGCCAGAGTGGCTAGAATGGAGTGAGCATGGGGAAAGGTACTGGTAGATCTGGTCAGAGGTAAGAGAAGCCAAATTGGTTGGGCGCAGCAGTTCATGCCAGTAATCCCAGCACTTTGGGGGGCTGAGGCAGGAGGAGCTTGAGTCCAGGAATTTGAGTCCGGCCTTGGCAAGATGGCAAAAAGCCCATCTCTACAAAACTGACAAAAATTAGCCAGGTGTGGTGGTGCGCACCTCCAGCTACTCAGGAGGCTGGGGTGGGAGAATTGCTTGAGATCAGGAGGTGGAGGTTGCAGTGAGCTGAGCTCATGCTACTACACTCCAACCAAAGTGAGAGTGGGGGGAATGGGGGAGCAAATCATGGAGAGACTTTTGTCAGGACTGCCAGGACTGCAGCTTTACTCTGATAGAACTGAAGAGTGGGCTGGGTGAGGTGGCTCAAACCTGTAATCCTAGTGCTCTGGGAGGTTGAGGTGTGAGGATCGTTTGAATCCAGGAGTTCAAGGTTGCAGTGAGCTATGGTCACACCACTGCACTCAAACCTGGGTGACAGAGATCCTGTCTCTTAAGAAATAGGGAGGCACTGCAGGATTTTTAAGAAACAATATAGACTGACAGCTATACTGACAACAGACTGTGCAGTGGCAAAGGCAGAGAGCAACCCCAGCATTAGTAAGAGGTCCCAGGTATTTTCTGGTGGTAGAGACAAAGTACTTCCCTGTAGATGTAGGGTGTGAGGAGTCAAGAGTGATCTGTTTTGGGCCTACACAACTGAAATGACAGTATTTATATTCGCTGTTGGGTAAGACTGTGAACAGGCAGATAGGGGAGAGGAGGGGCTGAAATATTAGCCCATCTGAATTGGAAATATAAATTTTGAAACTGACAGCATGTAAATCCT